>NC_000005.10:81927988-82231019 GCF_000001405.40 Homo sapiens | reverse complement strand
CTAGGGCCTCTTAAAGGTTTATTTCTTCTCAAATTTTATTAATAGCTATCTATCTATCTATCAGTTATGCACATAGTGAATATATACTTTTGTGACTCCATTATTCCTCTTACCTGTTGACATTATTTCATATATAATTTTCCATATTTTACATAGTCCTTATAACTTTCTTTTAATTACATAATTTTCCATCTAGCTAATATATCATAATGGATATTTACATCATTCCATGGTTAGACATTTAGATTTTCCAGTTTTATACTTTTTTTTTTTTTTTTTTTTTTTTTGAGACGGAGTCTCACTCTGTTGCCCAGGCTGGAATGCAGTGGTGCGATCTCAGCTCACTGCAACTTCTGCCTCCCCGGTTCAAGCGATTCTCTTGCCTCAGCCTCCTGAGTAGCTGGGACTACAGGAGCGTGCCACCACACCTGGCTAAGTTTTTGTATTTTTAGTAGAGATGGGGTTTCACCATGTTAGCCAGGATGGTTTCCATCTCTTGACCTCGTGATCCACCCGCCTCGGCATCCCAAAGTGCTGGGATTACAGGCGTGAGCCACCGTGCCCAGCCAGTTTATACTATTATAAATTATGCATATATACTATATATTCCTCTTTATGAATTATTTCCTTATAATAAAAATTTTGGAATGAATAAAAACAGTGGGAATATTTGTATTTCGTATTTGTTGATTTGTATGATCACATTTCCCTCCAAAAAGATGAAACTACATTATTGCCACCAATACAAACTGCTTTATTAGTCCCTCACTGTTTTAAGTAGCCCTGTCTTAATGTGAGAACTAACCCTTCCTTTGAAATATTTCACAAAAACATCACATAGACTCCATAAAGACTTTAGTCAACTAGCTTAGCCCTTATGCTTCTTTCAACTTGGCTGTAGGCTGCAACCTTCAGGAATTAGTGACCTGATGCAAGAGAACATGCAAAGGGTTAGGGCTCGGGATGGGGTTGGGCAACTTTCTTGAATGTTTATAACCACATTATGTCCTTGGATAATGCCTTTTCAGATTGACCAGTGCAGGGATCAGTAACTTTTCAAAAATAGTTTGCCAAGGCTCCAATCTGTATACGAACAGGCCTGCATTATATGACGTGAGTTTCCAATGAGCTGGTACAGCCATCCTTTGGTATTCACAGGGAATGGTTCCAGGACCCCCCTACCTCCCTGCCACAGATAGCAAAACCCATGGATGTTCAAGTCCCTTATGTAAAGTGGCTAGTATAGTTGGCCCTCCATGTCCACAGATATGGACACCTGCAGACATGGAGGACTGACTATTCCTTGGTCTTCACGGGCCATTCAAATAAGAAGTCACATTAACTAAAGCTCACAACTTACTCAGATTCTGTGCCAGTTTGTATAAAATATGGCTATAGCATTAACACACCACTTCTCTAAAAAGCTTTATTTTCCTTGGCTAGGGTCTGAAAAATGATATTAAGTGTAAAAACCAGCACACAAAATTATATATTAATTACAGTTTACAATTGTGGATACACTGACATGAAACTTGCCCAATAAGAAAGTGGCATCCAAACTTTCAACTTGAAGCATGGCATGAAATAAAATTTAAATCAAAATTGTGCCTGTCAAACTCATATAATTAGCAGTAAACACACCTTAGGGCATGCACATGTTCTTCAACACTTATTTTTTAAAGTAGAAAATAGTTCCTTTCTAGCATGTTCCTCCTAAGAGGCTCATTTATTCTTTCCTGTCTTAGCCAGTGCTCCTCCAGTACTGTAACAGCTGCCATCTCCAGCATGAAGTAAAATTGTCTCAGAGCATGCATCCAAGCCATCCGGCCTCTCCATTTCTGCCTCAGGAGAGGGGTCCACTCAGAAATAGCTCGTTTCACAAAAACTTCAAGGGACAAATCCAGCATCCCTACAAAGGCAAGGGATCTCTCCTAGGAATTACTCATCAAATTGGGAGTACATGTGTTTTTTATACACTGACCTTCTCTGTGAAACACTGAAGATATTTCAGTTAAGTTAGTCCACACAAGTCAAATCGACTTTCTGCCACGGGAACCTCAGGCTTCTATAATTTACCTACTTTCTCAACTTGATAAGGAAGGTATTGTTCTTATAGCTGGTACTCAGGAAAATATAAATTATAAAGATAATTTTATGCCTCTACTTTCACTTATGTCCTTACTCCTGTAAATCAGTGTTTTATTCCAGTGTCTCTGAACTTGTTTGCATCACCTAAATTTAAAAAACATCTATCTATATACCCCAGGTACACAAGTTCACCTCTAAAGGTTTTCATTAAATAGTTGCAAATTATATGATTTCCAATGCACGGTACATATTGACAATTTTAAATACAACTATTAATATTACATCATTATCTTAAATGCATTCAATTGAAAATAAACATCCATCATCATTCACTTAAAAAATATATGCAATACAATTGGACATTTTATATATTTCTCCTTGAATTCATATCTCTATTGTGCTCCTCTCAAAGAACTTCATCCTAATGTATATTTTATGCTTAAAAGCTTTTTATTGATCATCTTCTCATAACCAAAAAAATAGAGAGACAAAGGAGTTTATGTTTTAAAATTTCCTGTGGCCATTTTGTTCTATGTTAACTTAGATGTCTGATTGAGTTGTCATAATCATTGCTAGTATTCAATTGATCAAAACAACATAAATATATTATAAAATTTGATAAGCAAATATATAAAGTAAAATATTTTTGGAAATCATGAGTTAATGGCATTATATAGTATTGATACATACTTTTAATAGTACATACATACTTTTTTTTTTTTTTGAGATGGTCCCACTCTGTTGCCCAGGCTGCAGTGCAGTGGTACAGTCATGGCTCCTTACTGCAGCCCTGACCTCTCAGGCTCAAGCGATCCTCCCACCTCAGCTTCCCGAGTAGCTGGGACTACAGGTTCATGCCATCCATGCCCAGCTAATTTTTGTATTTTTTGCAGAGGTGGGGTTTCTCTATATTGCCCAGGCTGGTCTTGAACTCCTGGACTCAAGCAATCCACCTACCTTGGTATCTCAAAGTGCTGGGATTACAGGCATAAGCCACTGCACCCAGCCCATACATACTTTTTATATAGTACATGCTTTTATTCATATGTGTATGAATCAATTTAATCCCCACAATAACCTATTATTATAATCCCCATTTTATAGATGTAGAAACTAAGATAGAGTAAGCATAAATGACTAATCCAGGTCACAGAGCTAGCAAACTGAAGAACCTGGATCTATGCACAGACCTCTGACACAACAGCCCAAGTACTTAACCACTACCCTATATATCCTGACTTAAAAACATGAATTGGGGCCAGGAGTGGTGGCTCATGTCTGTAATCTCAGCACTTTGGGAGGCCGAGGCAGGCGGATCACCTGAGGTTGGGAGTTCGAGACCATCCTTGCCAACCTTGGTGAAACCCCGTCTCTACTAAAAATACAAAAATTAGCTAGTTATGGTGGCAGGCGCCTGTAGTCCCAGTTACATGGGAGGCTGAGGCAGGAGAATCGCTTGAATCTGGGAGGTGGAGGTTGCAGTAAGCCAAGATCGCACCACTGCACTCCAGCCTGGATGACAGATAGATCCTATCTCAAAAAAATAATAATAAAATAAAATTTTAAAATATATATATATGTGTGTGAATTGGGACCTGGGGATACCTTAAATAAAGGGGTTGTCAAATTTCTCCTTTTTCAGTGCCCTGGCTAAGCAATATGTCATGGTAAGGGATGGATGTCGGATGTCAGATGTCTTTCTTTTGTACACTGGAAGAAAGTAAAAAAGGGGAGGGGAACAAGGAAAATCTCAACCACAGGTGCCTTCTCAAGCAGATGGATTTTACAAGAGGGGGCATATAGGAATAGAAGATCTGAAAATTAATTCCTTTAAAACTCTCATGCCCATGTATCTTTGGGAAGTCTTCATCAACCGCCAAGGGTACACATACTCCAGGTTGAATGCCATTGGTTCACATAATCTCTAATACAATACAAATTAGAGAAGATTTTGTGAAACATTTTTAATGCTTTAGAAACAAAATTTAATTAAAATTTAAATTATTTTAACCCTTGAATTTTAAAATGGCAGTTAATTTCAATAATTTGAAAGGATACAAATTCTAAAGTGTAATAGGATAGTAATAAGCATAATTATAATCTGCGTCATAAGTTTATAATGATTAGATGTAATGCATGAAAAGATAGCAGGCCTGTAATAGTGCTATGCATAAAATGCTCCCTTCAAAATCTTTATTTGCATTTCTATTACTGAAATCATTTCCTAATAATGAAGTTGCTATAAGAGAAGCTCCATTACTAAGGAATCACTGTTACAGAAACAATGTTATTAAAGTATTGCTATGTACAGAAACTTTTATTAGGATGATACAAGTTATATATCATTGTAATAAAGCTTCCATTATAATCCTAATTGCATAAATCTGTGTTTGAGTATAGCAATGCTAGAGCTGTAGGACTTTTAATAAAGTATCAAAATAATCTTTTGGTAATAGGATTGTTTGAAATACTAATACTTCAGGGAAGACTGAACTGAGTAATGGGTGATGTTTATTTCACTGACTATACATAGTCTACCAAGAATTAGAAAGAAAAAAAAAAGAAGTAAAAAGAACCCTCATGTACCTAGTAAGATGCAGTGTGGAAATGTATGTGTTGAAGCATATTCACCAGCTCTCTTTAACGTAACAACTACCTATCTCCAATTCACTCATTGGTACAAGAAAGCAAGCTGCTAATATGGGCATTTATAACTGTGGTAATTAAAAGGTTTGATGTTCAGATCTACAGAGAGCTGGCAATCAAAAAGTTAACACACTTACTTAAATATGCCCACAAATACACACACAGTCACATCTTGGAAACTGCCTGTTATAAAAACCAGTAAAGAAATGTGAATTTGGGGGAGAGACAGACAGAGAGAGAGAGAAAGTAAGAATAAATATGAATTGACTTTAAAGGGATGAATTCTTCACCTTCTTCCACTAAAGAAGTTAAATACGTATAACTCACTCTAAGATGCTACTCTATATTACATATAAACAATATACCATAGTGATCCATCTGAGTCATAGCTAGAAGTTAGTATCAGACTTAGGTTCACACTAGAGAATGTTAGCATAATTCTCCAAATGTTTGTTTTTGCATTTGCTCTAATGGAGTCAAGTATTCCCGTTCCCTCTAGAAGCATTTATAATGTTGACCACCAGAGACCGCCAGAGAGCCATCCATCACCCGGTAGGCACAGAGACACTCCTTAATGTACCTGCCATTGTGGAAATCGGCAAGGAAGGCACCAGGCTGTCTGTAAAGGGCTTTGGCATCGGTTAAGGCAGCAGAGGCCATAGCCAGTAGCCCTGTTACAACCACATTCTCTGTCACATAATGAGGTCAAGGCCATTTTGATTTTGAGACCATTCGTGGCTTGCCTACAAAGCAGCAGCTAGATGGACTTGGAATCTGCTTGGAAAGCAAAATGCTTTTACCTTTCCAGAGAGCATCTCCTTTCCTCTTGACCTGCTTTCCAGATGTGATGATCTGCAAACAGCTGGGTGGGGTTAATTTAGAACCCAGGAGGTTCATTTTCTCTACTGACTTAAATGATCGAAAGCAAATATGTGCATTCCCCTAATGTTATGGTCCCCAAATATTTGTATTACCTGAGGGATAGGTATAAGATTTTTTGACCACACAGTCAGTGCTGGCATAAGTTATTTTTCAGGAGTCTAATATTCTTTCATTAAATATGATCAACCCAAACTACTTTGCACTGACACAGTGAGAGACTCTTATTTCTGAAATACCCATAAAATTTGAAATTTCTTCACTTGGGAGTGTGTGACATTAAAAGGGTGCAAGGACTCAATTATCCTATTGGTCAACTAAATACCTGCAGAACAGGAGCACCAAAAATATTGAAGAAATGTCAGCTTCCATGAATTTAATTGGAAATTTGAAATCAGACAATTTTGAAAGAAACTAATTTAATTTCAGCATTCATGTAAGTTTGTAGTTTATAATACATAGATGTCCTTATTTTTAATACATGGGAGGCAGACACCCCAATCTTTTAAATCAGGCATTTCAAGGAAGGTCTAACTTCCCCTTGTGACAGGAATATCATCCTTACTTCAAAGTCTTACACCAAAGTGGTGAAGATTTAAGAGGCTTGAATAAATGTTGACTGATGGATTTCTTTAGAAACTGAATCTACTTTCACTGGCCTCCATTCCCCCACCTTCTCCATAAGCATTTTGTCAGTATTCCTCCAGCACAGCTTTCCTTTAAACACCCTCCTTTCACTCTATCTCCTTGAAGACAATCACTTCCACAGTGGGCTTTCACAAGCATCTCTTTCCCTCCAGCCTGCCAGAACCTCCCACCTGCTTTCCTTTGTTTTAGAGCCTCTATTCTCTCCTTCCCCCTGCATGCAAATACCCGATTCATAGTCCCAACTACTAATTTTATGCCACTCCCTTGCTCAAAATTATTTCTAACTACTCCCTTGCTTCTTAGGTAAAGCTGAACCTTTTGGGGGCCTGGATCCCTTTCAATATGCAATGAGAGCTATGGACCTCAGAATAATGCATAATGTATACAGGCTTTTGCCCATGTTGCATGTGGTTTAAATAAACCCTGAAGCCTGGGTATTTGTGACCTCTAGGTAAAAATCCTAAACCTATATAATAAAGTTTCAATTGCATGGCCCTCTACTTGTTTTCCCTGCAGGCTGGCACAAACTACTTTTCCAGCATTATCATCTATCAGACTGCCCCTAATCACAGAAAAGAGTGGGGGCTTCATTAAGCACCTACCATGCCCCGGACTATTCTAAGCCCTAAATACATAGCAGCAAACACAACAACAAAGGTTCTACTATTCTCATATTCTGTCGACCCATGGTCATCCTTTGCCTTGTCACACCCTGGCCGACTGCTGGTTATTTCCAAAGGTATGCAATCCTTACTTTTAGAAGGCTGGCTTCACATGCATTTTATATTCTTGTTCTGGTTTGCTCTCTAGTCACAGGATGACTAGTGTTTCCTCACCTCTGGGTTCATCCCCCTATCTCGAATACTCCCTCATTTCCTTCCTCATCTACCAAATATTCTAAGATAGTATCAAGCCTCTCTCTCTCATTCTCAAATCTTTCTAGAATCATTTCAGTTCATAATAAACAAACTCTCTACTTAAAATTTCTATCAGTGACCTAGCACTTTATCATATATATGTGCCTGTAACATCTATATAAGACTATAAAGGTTGTTTCATTATGTAATTTTTTATTATTGATTAATTCTTCTGTGTAATCTGTGCATTATTGCCCCATCTTTGGGGAAAGAAGACCATGCCATAGATTTCTGTTTCCTGAACAATGCTGTCTCTCATAGTGCTGTTTATATACACCACCACTAAATCTCTATTTGTTGGTTATTGGTGATTGATTGCAAAAGATGATGCCACCAAGATGATGAAACTTATCTCTAACTTTCAAGGGCGATCTATAGACATTTAGGAGAGTCTTTCACTGCTTAAGGATTGATAATATGACCAAAGTGATGCACAACTTAGTAAACCAACCTAACCACTGTTATTCATCATTGTGACTATGAGCCACAAGTGTGCAGACATTGGCATGCAGACAATATGTAATAAGATTGTTTATATTCCAAATAATAATTTGCTTTTTCCATCTAAATACAGTAGAGATTGGATGCATTCTTTTCTGACCTAATCTTAGTGTTAATACCTGAAGTGCAATCTTTGAAGGCAACAAAGAACATCTTAAAACAAACAAAAAAACAGATAGCAAATGATAATGGCATACAACTGCAGCCTTGTTTGGTGCTATTAGTGACTGTAAATGCATTTGCTATCTCTCGTCTGCATCTATAACTCTCACCATCATTTCCTCACAGAGTAAACAAATGTTGCTTATAAACTTCCACACACAGCCTGCCTTTGAAAGATTTTCCAACCTACCAACTTGCTTAACAGAATTAAATGCCTTGTTAAAACCAAGTACCCGGCATACAAATTACAACACTATTCTTAGGACTATATCACGGGTAGTGTGACTACACTTCTTAAGTATGATACTTGTTTTCTTTGAAACCTGAAAGAACAATATGCCCTGATTGTTATCCTGGCATGTACAGTTCCATTCATGCCTGTGCAACTGCACAGCTGATGTGCCTTTGAAATCCTGAAGAATGTCTTCTGCCTTCCCAGACCTGGGGCAATCTCCACGTGGTAGCTATTTACCTCAGCAGCAAATTTCCATAAAACTATAATCACTACCAGATGGCCCACCAAATGATGATTGTTTGATGGCAAAAAATACATATATGAATCTTTCTCTATTTAAATATAACATCATTTGTTATTTGAGCTTATGTTCTATACTAACACATAGTAGTGTTAATTTGGAATTTGGTGAATAAATTAATGGAAATTATGTTCATCATCAATTTGAGACAAGATCATTAATAACAGTACTAGCCAGTGTGATTGCATACTATGTGCTAGGATCTATTCTAAATAGTTTATATTTACTATTGTATTTAATCCAGGAAACTTCATGAGGGATGTACTACTAGGATCACCATTTCACAGATGAGGAAATTAAGGCATAGAAAGGCTCAGTACCTTGCTCCAGTATTCACAACTAATTTGGAAAAGCCAACAGTTGATCCAGGCAGTTTGGCTGTAAAATCAAAGGCTCTTAATCACTATTTTATACCACTTCCCATTTAACTAGTTTCATTATTAAATTGGGAAGTTGGTGTACCACTAACTATACTTTGTCTTGCCATGGCAGAGGAAAAATACAAGCACAAAATCACAAATCAAGAAGGCTGCTGCTCTTTCTATAACACTGGGGAGAGAGTACTCTTCAAACCATCAGACATTTTCTCTAACTTCTGTTTCTTTAACTTAGGAAGAAATGCACTAATCAATATCACATTTTGGCTTACTTCAAGCATGACCTTTAATGCAACTCCGATACAAGATTTTCTGTTAACATATTCACTAAAAGACTAGCAAAACGTTTCTTTGGTTAATATTCTGATTGGAGTGCAAAGTCAGGGCTTCAGACTCAGAATTAATGCTGAGTTTGCTAACAATATACTCAAGGGCTGCTGGCCATCTGTATCTCCTCTGTATTCCTCTAGCACATAACAGTCTGAAAGTAGCATTTGGTTGCTGCTATCATTATTTTTACTCATTTCAAAATATATTTTTGCATGCCTATATCTTATATTGCCAGCATCACATTCTTGAACCATCTCTACATTGTGGCTTTTGAGTCCTATCAAATAAATGGTGGCTTCGGAGTCCTATCAAATGGTCTGATGCTGTCTTGGCTGTTGGCTTCCCTGGCTGCTGGAAAAGCCTCAGTGTAATAGATGGTGGCCACACCAAGACACGGTGTATAGGTTGCTCTGTCCCTGTGATTATCTAACATATGGGTGTCTTCTAAATTATCACTGCACTTGGTACCTGATCTGCAACCAGAAGGCAAAAAGTGTACATAGTGTTTTTCAAGAGCTCTATCAGATCAGTCATGTCATTGAACATTTATTAGTCCTAATAAATGTTATGAAGAGGTTACAAACCACTTATGAATGTTTCCCAAAACAAAACAAAATATAGCCCCTACTGTAGAAGAGGTTGTAATTCAGTAGGAGAGAGATGCCTTGACATCTCTCTGGAAACAACAGTTTCCAGCTGGGAATGCTAAAGAGAGAAATGCAGAGGTATTGCATCACAGGGCCCAGAAGGGAGCCATGCTAGCTGAGAAAGGAAACCTAGGCCAGGCGGGAAAGGTGTTCCAGACAGAGAGAAGCACAGAAGCAAAGGCCTGAAGTCAATAAACAGCATGTATATATAGAAACCATAAAAGAGATGGAAGGCCGGGCACAGTGGCTCATGCCTGTCATCCCAGCACTTTGGGAAGCCAAGGACGGTGGATCACGAGGTCAGGGGTTTCAAGACTAGCCTGGCCAATATGGTGAAACCCCATCCCTACTAAAAATACAAAAATTAGCCAGGCATGGTGGCACGTGCCTGTAGTCCCAGTTGGGAGGCTGAGGCAGGAGAATTGCTTGAATCCAGGAGGCAGAGGTCGCAGAGAGCCAAGATCATGCTACTGTACTCCAGCCTGGGCAACAAAGCGAGATTCCATCTTTAACAAAAAAAAAAAAAGAGAGAGAAAGAGAGAGATGGAGTAGTACATCAGGGACCCAGGAGGCAGAGCTTGCAGAGAGCCAAGATCACGCTACTGCACTCCAGCCTAGGCGACAAAGCAAGACTCCATCTTAAAAAAAAAAAAGAGAGAGAGAGAGAGATGGAGTACATGAGGGAGAGAAGTTAAAACACACTGCATTTGTGATTTAAAAAAAATCCAGCCAGGCGCGGTAGCTCACACCTGTAATCCCAGCACTTTGGGAGGCCGAGGCAGGCAGATCACGAGGTCAGGAGATCGAGACCATCCTGGCTAACACAGTGAAACCCCATCTCTACTAAAAATACAAAAAATTGGCCAGGCGTGGTGGCGGGTGCCTGTAGTCCCAGCTACTTGGGAGGCTGAGGCAGGAGAATGGCGTGAACCCGGGAGGCAGAGCTGGCAGTGAGCCGAAACTGCGCCACTGCACTCCAGCCTGGGTGACAGAGCGAGACTCCATCTCAAAAAAAAAAAGCCTTCCACTGCCCACCTGTCCTGCTCTGTCCCTGACCTTCTGCCATGCTCCCAGCCACCAGCATTAGCTGATTAGAATTTGTTTGCTGGTCCTGTCTTTGTGACCCTGCACGCACTGCTCACTCCCTCTTATTCCCTTCCCCATGTGCATGACCAACAAATGCTGATTCAGTTGGTGGATTACTCCATCTATGAGGCCTTTGCTTATTCTCCCAGGCAGAAAAACTGCACTTGTTCCTTCCTAACTCCTTAGATACCTTTACAGTGGCTCTCCTACTGTTTTGCAATTGCTTGTTTGCACAGCCATCTCCCCACCAGAATATAAGTTCTTTGAGGGCAAGGACTGTGTGTTAGCTGTGTTCTATCCCCAGCACTAACCATAACAACTGCTCATAATAGGTGCTCCTTTAATATTTGTGAATGAGAGAAAGAGGAAAAAATAAATCACTTCTACTCCCTTCTCAGATTCTAATAAGTCCATAAGTAATTAAAGCATGTAGAGCAAACAGTATAGTTAAAATTGGCTTGGCTAAAAGTAATGTTAGTAATGAATGTGAGGTGAGTCTTCTCTCTGTGGCCAGGTGGGCAGCAGCTAATGGATGTGAAGGTGTTGCTGGTGATTGGCCCAACAGTCCTTGCCAGAATGGTGCAGCTGTATTGGTTTTAGGCTCCTAGTCTGACTCCTAAGCAACATATAAGCCTCAGCACAGTCTTGTGGCATGTGAAAGTCTCACTAGCTACAAAGACAAGGCTAATATGAGAGGACTATTTGGGTTATAATATAATACCATTACATGCCAACACTATGTGTCTGCAGGACCTAGTAAACAGTCAGTGCCTATTAAATGTTTCCTATTAACATAGATTTTCACCAGAAGAGAAGGGAATCAGTGGAACCGCCATCCTAGCATGCTAATTAATTCTCTGTGTGAAAAGAAGTACTAATCTCCATTTTAAAGCATCAATCATGGAAAATAAACTCAAATGTGACCAGATTTTAAAATACTACTTGTTCTAAAATCAGATGTAAATGAAAGCTTTCAGGATTCTGCAAGAGGCGATTACAGTGTACATGGTACTATGAAACCCCATTTAAACTCAATCTTCTAGAAAACTTTAAAATACTTTTTCCAGTTTGAAACTGTTCTCTAATATCACTCTTCATATGCTTTCCTTGTCTAAGAAGCTTTGCTCTGTAAAAATTTCTCCCAATTTTTAAGTAAGATATTACAGAATTTCCCAGAAGCATTAGCGACGGTTCCTTAGCAACTGTTGATATGTCTCAAAACAACCTGAGACAATCTTCTCTGAGACATGTAGTCTCTCCCTCTCTCCACTAACAGAATTCCACAATATGGCAAAAAAGATTCGTGCAGCTAAAAATAGCTTCCAACACACATTTTTAAACTTGACAGAGTCTTAATGATTTAAGTCTTCCATATCACAGCTTGGGTTAGGTGCGCCTCAACAACAGTATATCAAAGAGCTCTGTGCAGAGAGATTTTAGAATCTTTTTCTTTTTTAATCACACCATTAACACTCCTGACATTTCAGAAATAATGTTTATCGATTTTGGTGTTAGCACTCCCATAAATTAAGTGATGTAATGGACGGAATTATTGTGGTACTATAAAGAATGTGTCATTCAGATTGTTAACTACATATGAGAAAAAAAACACAGAGACTCTGGATTCATGTAAAAATAGCCCCAGATCTGGCTAGTAAATGGAGATGAAGGAAAATGACATATCCCAGTGATGATGGGTCTATCTCCACCACTCCCGCCTGGCTGCTGTACCAAAACAACTGAACCTGTTTAATAAAAGCAAACTATAATAGCAATGATCATTCTGTACCAACAAAAAAAACTCCCTAGGATGAAAGTAAGACATATGAATTTAAGGTTATTCTCATCAAAGAAATCAGTATAAATGAAAAGTATTAGGAATGGACAAAAAAGCATTTTGAATCTGTAGCAGGAAAGAACCACATGGTACAGAAAGCAAAAATGGTCCCTGATAATCTGTGGGGCTATAAACTTCCACAGGGAACTTGTTGTTATCACTAGTAGATGAGAGTCAGAGTCTAGCCAAAATCTGTGATTGTGGTTCTGGGTTGATGAAGTTGAAACCTGTGAAACCACCATGTAACTGATAGGTTAAAATAATTCCTGTACGTGTGATGTGTGTGTGTGTGTGTGTGTGTGTGTGTGTGTGTAAAGAGAGAACAGTGTTCTGTTATAACCTTCCTTATGCAGCTGTTTTTTTGTTTGGTTTTGTTTTGTTTTAATTTAGAGACAAGGTCTGGATCTGTTGCCCAGGCTAGAGTGCAATGGTACAATCTCAGCTCACCACAGCCTTGACCTCCTGGGGTCAAGCGAGCCTCCTACCTCAGCCTCCCGAGTAGCTAGAACCACAGGTGCACACTACCACACCCAGTTAATTTTTTTTTTTTTTTTTGGTAGAGAGGGGGTCTTGTTATATTGCCCAGGCTGGCCTCAAATTCCTGGGCTCAAGCAGTCTTCCTGCCTCAGCCTCCCAAAGTGCTGGGTACAGGTGTGAGCCACCACACATGGCCAGCTGTTTTGAGAATTAAATGAGACAATGCATGTAAAGCATGTTGCCTGTGTAAACTGCTGCCAATCAATATTATGCCCTATATGTGTATGTATATGGGTGTGTGTGTGTATATATATGCATATATATTCTACAATTTGTCACAAAAGATTCATGTGGCAAAAAATAGCTTCTGACACATACACATATATATGACAGGATATATAAGGGATAAGATTGCATTTATACCTTATAAGAATTATAAGGTAATATAATATATAAGCACATAGTAAATGTAATATTACTATGTAATAAAAGTAGTAAATGAACTAATGCACATAAATAGCACAGTGTTTAGTAAATAACAAATGCTTAACAATGTTCGTTGTGGTCATCATCACCATCACCACCATTATTTCTCCCATTTTATATAGGAGGACACTGAATTTCCAAGGGAGTTAGGTAACTTACCCAAGGCCAAACAGCTAGTAAGAGGCTGGGCTGAGACTGATGTCTGTTTGATTGCAAAACTCATGATCTTCCCAATTTTACTATAGGCCTAAGCATTCTTACAGAGTGGTTAAGTATTCTGCTTCTATAAAACAGGTTTCAAGTAAAAAGAGAAGATAGTTGTTGCTACCATCGTCATTTTTTTTTTTTGAGACTGAGTCTCACTCTGTCACCCAGGCTGGAGTGCAGTAGCGCAATCTCGGCTCACTGCAACCTCCACCTCCCGGGTTCAAGTGATTCTCCTGCCTCAGCCTCCTAAGTAGCTGGGACTACAGGCACGCACCACTACACCCAGCTGATTTTTGTATTTTTAGTAGAGATGGGGTTTCACCATATTGTCCAGGCTGGTCTTGAACTCCTGACCTCATGATCCACCCACCTCGGCCTCCCAAAGTGCTGGGATTACAGGCATGAGCCACTGCGCCTGGCCTGTTGCTACCATCTTCATTCTTATAGCTGTGGACTCAAATAAATCTAATGAAACTCCTAATAGCATGAGTTTTATTGGTTTGGCATATTACAATAATCTATTGCTAGTGTAAGACATTTCCTGGTCATAAGGCAAGTATCTAGAAGTGGCTTTTGCTGAAGTGTTGCCAGTCTGTCATTGATCTCCCATTCTATTCATACCTAATTAGCATGCTTGAAGTCTCACAAGTTGCTCAGGTGGCTTACTTGATTCTGGTATTTTAAAACAATACTATTATTGTGGATGTGATGCATAATTTTACCATATCAGAACATCAAAATCCATTCATTAAAGAATCTATCAAAGTCTGGATGTAAGTTAATAATATATGTCTCTTCTCTGGTCTGGGTATGAAAAAGGAAAGTTACTTGAAAATAAGAGGGTAGAAGATTTATTTTTAGACCAGGATATACTTAGCTAATAGTCTTAAGCCAGGGTGGCTCCAGGCCAGAGCGAAATTCACTAAGTTGAATCTCTTTTTGTTGCCCTTCCTTTTTACTCTGAAGCAGACAAGGTAATAAGCAGTGGGGACATATCTAGGATCTACAGAATATTTCTGCAGTTTCTATTTTCTAAATCATCAAGCTGTTCTTTAGTTTTATAGAGCAGTTTTTCAATTGTTGAGGATCTTTCTGCAGAAAGGCAATTTGATTTCTATCCTTGGCTCTTCGATTATACATTCTATCATCACTAAACATTGATTAAGCCTGCTGCAATACACTCCCTTGTATTTGGGTCTTTGAATTCTCAGAAGGTCATTATTTATTACAATGTAACAAATTGGATTTTTTTTTTTTTTTGAGATGGAGTTTCGCTCTTGTTGCCCAGGCTGGAGTGCAGTGGGGCGATCTCAGCTCACTGCAACCTTCACCTCCCAGGTTCAAGCTATTCTGCCTCAGCCTCCCGAGTAGCTGGGATTATAGGCGCCTGCCACCATGCCCAGCTAATTTTTTGTATTTTTAGTAGAGAATGGGGTTTCACCATGTTGGCCAGGCTGGTCTCGAACTCCCGACCTCAGGTGATCCACCTGCCTCAACCTCCCAAAGTGCTGGGATTACAGGTGTGAGCCACCGTGTCTGGCCTGGAAATATTTTTAAAATATGGTCAATGCAGGTGCTGTATTTATCAGTGTTAGCCTTTGTTTCAGGACAAAATGAGCTGATGTTTCTTAACAAACATGACATTTAATTCAAGTGTTTTTTAAAGATATATAAAAATTAATTTTTTCTTTCTGAGAATATCACCATTGAAAAAACTCAAGGTCTGGTAGGCAGCTTTCTAAAACGGTTCAATAATTCCCTTGTGTCCCCTTGCGTATGGGCTGGATCTACTGTCTTGCTTCTAACAAATAGAATATGGCTAAAGTGATGGGAAGCCACTTCCATTACTAGGTTACAAAAGGTTGTTATGTCTACCTTACTAACACTCTCTTTTGCTGGCATTCTCTCTTGCCCTCTCATATCCTGGCTCTGATAGAGTAAGCTACCATATTGTAAGACGTTCTATGGAGAAGCCCACATGGCATATAACTGAGGGTGGCCTCTCAGTCCAAGAGCCTGTGAGGAACTGAGTCCTGCCAACCTTCCCCATCAAGCCTTGAGATGACGTCAGCCCAGTGAGAGACCCAGAACCAGAGGACTCATCTAAGCCATGCCTGATTTCCTGGCCCACTGAAACTGTAAGATTATAAGTGTATTAAATCATTTAAGTTTAGGTAATTTGTTAATAGAAATAAATAAAAATAAAAGCTCTGAAATACATGTCTTCATCCATGCTATTTAGTAAATATTTAACAGGAGCCTCTTATGTGCAAGGTGCACTGGAGTTCCTCTTGGCTGGGTACTGGTAATACAGTGGAGAATGAAACACACATGATCCCTGTCCTCTGGGCCCAGGAGAAGATTATCCTGTATGCTCTTGCCTGGCTGCCAGTTTGCACTTGTTTCCCCATGGGAGTCTCAATGAGGGTTAGCTGCCACCTCGTAAGAGAGTCCCTCCACCTTGAGAGATCCACTCTCTTGCAGAAGGCCTCTGGTGAGCTATAGTCTAGTCTGAAAAATTATTCCCTGCTGCAAGGGGCCTAAAGTCCTCTTCTCAGGCACAACAAGATCCCAATCATATACAGGTAGTGCTATTTTCATTCTCAAATTCTTTTACACATAAACGTAAGAATGAGATTTGAATAAAAATTTTCATATATTAAAAAAATCTTCATCCTATTAGCCTAATCATAATAGTAATTATAATTAGAAACCAATTATAATTGTTGCAACAACAATGCAACTGCAAATCTTTTGTAAATTAGTAGTCTTCGTTTGCTGCTACTAAATTATTCCTATCAAGCTTACAAAATATCATACATTTAGCGAATTACAAGGCGTATTTTTTTGGTTGTAGTTTCACCTATGAGAAAAGTTAACTCTATTCACAGATTTTGTGGCACATTCTTTAGTGGCAAATTTGCATTTGTAAATGTAACTGAAGATCAGTTACATTTTTTGAAAAGTCTTAAGTCAATCATATTTAAATATTTGTGATTATGATGTATTCTAAGTATTTACAAATTATGAAATGTTCAAAGTTTACCATGTGGAAGTCCACATGGTATGAGCAGGTATGAGCAGACATCTTACCCTTCTAGTTTCTGGCAGCACAGTTAGGCCAATGAGTAGTTTAGGTAGTACATGGACATGACGGTGAGGCAGAGCCTCATATGAAACTGGTGAAATCAACTCAAAGTAGTCAGGATCACATTTGCTCAGAAGTCACCTTAGTATACAATATCTAAGGCCCAAAGTCGAGAGAGAGCAACTCTGCTTTGAATAATTCTGAAAGAATGTATCAACAAAAGAGAGATAATAGCAGAGATCAGAGAAAGATAGGAGTCAGAGGGCAGACTTAGGCAGTGCTCCCATAGCATCATCCAGGGCAGAGAATTCTGGAGTACTTATCCACCTGCTAAACACTGGACTTATTGAAGGCATAAAAGACATGAATTCCGCTCTTAGACACCCTACATTCTAGTAGACAAGATGACAGCGTGACTGGTCGAACTGGTAGGAATATGCATGGAGTTGGCCACACAAGGCTGGATGTTACCTTTAAGATAGATTTAACTCTTTTGCTTTGCTTCTAGGTTCACCAGGTAATATTCTCATTATAAGGTGGTTTCCAGTAATCTTCCTGAATTCTTATCAGCTGACACAAGCTTTCCAATTTGCTTGGCAGTTACAGTTCATCATTCTAAATTAATACACTGGCATTCTAAGTCTTCCATATCAGTCACTCAAGAGTTTGCTTAGCATTCTCTGCATTTTGCCCAAATAGCTAAAGCAAGGTGGTGGCCAGAGGAAGGAAGCTCACCAGGTAAGACTAGGAGAGATATCTGGAAACAGACAAGGCAAGAGAGAGGTAACTAGCCAAGACCACGGTCAAGAGGAACCAACTCTTAGTCTGGAATATGTTAACTGGCTTCAGGTCCAAAGGGGAAATTTAAGAGAGAAATTCGTGTATGAAGAACAAAGTCAGTATCTTTGAGTTAAACTAAGTTCAAAATGGAATAAAGTCAGGAAATAAATAGACGCAAAAAGTTCAGGACTAAATGAAATCAAAGGCATCACTGGTTATTTTGGCCTGAGAAGCTGGGAAGACAGTGGTATCATTTGTTGAAATGAAAAAGGCTTGGTAACGATTTGGAGAGGAAAAAAATCAATCCTATTTGGACTACCTGAAAGTTTGAGATACCATAAAATTATCGTATTGCTGGTTTAGATAAACTAGCCTGGAGTGCAGAGGAGTTTCTCAGCTGAAGGCTAACTTTAGAGTCACTGGTATATTAAAGATATTTAAAAACATGGAACTGGATAGAACCACCTAGGGAGAGAATGTAGACACAGAAGAGAACAGGGTCAAAGACAAAGCCCTGGGGTACTCTAACATTTACACGTCCAATATAGGATGAACTTGAGAAGTGGGACTGCCCAGTCAAAGGGCATATGCAATTTAATAATTTTGCTAGATTTTACCAAATTGACCTTCATTAAAGTTGTATCTGTTTACTCTCAATGGCACAGTATGAAAGGGCCCTTTTGCCCATACCCTTCCCAATACTATGTGCTTTCAAACTTTTATATCTTTGCCAATATGGTAGGTTTAAAATGGCACTTCCATGTAGTATTAATTTGTATTACTCTTTTTATTAGTGAACTTGAGTATCTTTTCAAATATTTAAGATACTTGTTTGTACTTGTCTGTGAACTGCCTGGTTCAAAATCTTTGAAGGGAAAGTTTCTCAAGATAGTTGATAATAAAGGTGCTTGTATACCAATGGGAAGAATCCTATGGCAAGGAGACATAATGATGCAAGAGAGAAAGGGTGTTGCTTCAGGAGTCATCCTTGAGAAGAAAGAGTTTAGGATTCAGAGCACAAGGGAGGGAGCTGGCAGTGGAAAGGGGCAGTTTCTCTTTTCCCATAGTAACAGAGCAAAGGCAGAGAGTGTGGGTACAGAAGTCAGGAGGCTCTAGAATAATGCTGAGAAGATAAGGTGGCTCTCTTCTGATTATATCTATTCTCACTATGAGGTATAAGTAGGCAAAGAGGAGCTTAGGCCACAAGAAGGAAAGGTGTGAAATATTGCCTTTGGGGAGACAGAAAGTGAATTACTAGAGGAGGGGAATAGAATGACTTGGCAGTTTTGCATGTCCGTTGAGATTCATGGTCATCCATTTGAAGTGAGCCTTGACAAGGGGGTTGTGTGATTTTTCTCCAGAGATGTTCAATTGCTTGGATATGGGTACAACATGGGAGAGATACAAGGATATTAAAGAGTTTGAAAGAGAATGATTATTGGCCTGGGCCATAGAATCTACACTGGGCATAGAGAGATGTGAGAAAGTTGAGATGTGGAGGTGGTAACAGTGAGAAGCAGAGGCATTAATGGATGAAGAACCCAATGAAGTTGGGGGACGCTAGAGTTGAAATATGGGAGTGTGAGAAGCAGGGAGTACCTGAAAGCAATCAGGAGAGTGGGTTAAGCCCAGGCCCCAAAGGAGCTGGAGATTTTCCACAGGGATGAAGGAGTCCTGAGCCTGGAATGGCAGCTTGAGATCTGCAGGAAAGAGAAGGTGCAGGGGAAGCAGAATCCTCTTGAGAGAGCCAAAGTTCAGTTGACGACAATAGCTAAAAGAAATATTCAATGAAAGAGAATGTAGGGAACCTTTCCACCATGGAAAAGGAATTCCAGAGAGCATAGTGGAAAGTATAGCAGGGAAGGGAGAACTGGGAAACAGGGTCAGAGGAGAGAAAGGACAGACAGGAATACATATAAGTACCCAGGCGTGTAGGGCTAGATGAGTGGAGGCACTTACATCATGAGCAGAGAATAATCCAGAACCTGTAGATTATATATAAGAAATAATAAAATCATAATACACTATAAGATAGGAAGAAATGAGGCAGTTTTCATAAATGTGTACTACATAATAATTCACAGAGTAGTAAATTCCTAGCAGATAATATTGCAACTGGTTCCCTTTGGACATAAGATTTTAGAATCCCATCATGCACTATGGAAAGAAGTCGATTCAGTGTTTTACAACTGGGAGCTATCGTGCTGAAATTAAAACCCAGAAGTTTTCTTTATGATGATAAGCCTCCTTATCTCTACAGGAGGAATTTTAAGTTCTAATTAAACTTCTAAATTAACCTAAATGGAAGCCCAGCTCATTTAATAGAATCCTAGAATTTCAAATTACATGGAAACTTAGATGTCATCTAGTTCAACCAACCCCATCCTAAAGAAAGAAAGGAAGAAAGATAGAAACTATATTAACTCTCCCTGCCTCCAAACTCTCCAACTTCCTCAGTCTCTTCTCAGCATATATCATACATTCTTGTCCTGAGTAAAACCTGACAGCCCCTAAGGACTCTATTTTCCTTGCAGCCCTCTTTAGTAGAAACTCAGTGCCTTGAGGTGGGGCAGGTATTATCATTTCCCACTGCAGACTCCAAAGTTCCCTGCCCTCGCCATCAACCTCCTTAAAAGCCCCAGCTTAAATAAGCTCCATGTCCAACATGGTTCCCACTAGGAACTAGGAAAGCTGGGGAAAAAAAAATCTGTTTGAAGGCATCAGAGTGTTACAAAAACACTGAGGAATTGTGGGTCAAAGAATCAGGAGAAAAGGGAAGCCCAGAGAAATGAGCCTGGTATTTGGAAGATTACTGATCCTGAAAGTTCAGGGTATACCAAGGAAGAGGAGCCCTGGTAAACACATAGGATTTTAGATGGGATTTGGAAAGACTACACTTCAAAAGTAAGGGTATTGGAAACAGATCAGCTCTCATAGGGACTGAAACCCAACTTGGAAACATCTCAATCCTTGGCTGGATTAATGTGATCAGAAATTGCTAGTGCCCCTAAGCTAGCTGCCTCCCTGAAGCAGAAGTAAATCCTCTCTGGAGAAAAATAACATTTCACAGAGCCTTAAAGTATCTCTGTAAATTTTTTATATGCACAACATCTGGCTCTAAATAAAAAGAAGCTATTACATACACATTTCTATGAAAAGACTTGACCAAAACCCAAGAGAAAAAACAGACAATAGAAACAATGCACATAATCCAGATAAAAGAATTAACAGACATGGACTTCAAACTTCTATTAATGTGCTCAAGACAAGCTTGAGAATTTTGGTAAGGAAGTGGAATTTTTAAAATTTACTAAATAAAAGTTCTAGATCTGAAACTACTACATCTCAAATTTAGAATTCAATGAAAGACTTTCAGAGCAGATTAACAAAGATAAAACTGAAAGACTGGTCAGGAAAAAAATTCAGAATGAAGCACAGTGAAACAAAAGTCAGTGGGGTGGGAGAGGCATAGCAGACATATGAGATATGGTGAAGGGGTCTAAATACCTGTAACTGGAGTCACAAAAAGTGGGGATAGAGAAACTGGGGCAAAAGCAATCTATTTAAAGAAAAAATGGCCCAAAATTTTCAAAAACCAATGAAAATCATCAAGCCACAAATTAAAAGGAAACCATGAATCTCGGGAGGATACATATGAAGACTACATAATATGCAGACACATATCTTAGTCCATTCAGACTGCTGTAACAACAATACCATAAACTTGGTGGTTTATAAACAACAGACATTTGTTTCTTACACTTCTAGAACCTGGAAAGTCCAAGATCAAGGTACCAACACACATGGTGCTTGTTAAGAGCTCGTATCCTGGTTCATAGATGGCCATCTTTTTGCCATGTCCTCATGGCAGAAGAGGCAGGCAGTTCTCTGAGATCCCTTTAATGAGCACACTAATCCCACCTTGAAGGCTCTTCTCTCATGATCTAATCACCTCCTAAAGGCCTCACCTTCAAATACCATTACATTGGGGATGCATAGGTTTCAACATACGATTTTTGGTGGAAGACAAACATTCAGTCTACAGCAATATATAACAGTAGAAAAAAACCATGAAGTTAATATTAAAAGTAGCCAGGAAAAATTTTTTTAAAAAAGACGACCTTCAAATAAGTCAGATTAATATCTATGGAAGAAATCAAGTTTTTTATTAAAAATCTTTCCAAGAAGAAAACTCCAAACCCAGATGGCTTCACTGATTAATTTTCCCAAACATTTAAAGAAGAAATAACATCAGCAAAACATAAACTCCTGCAGAGGAAAGGAAAAAAAAAAGATCCCTTCCCAGCTCATTTTATGAAGGTAACATATGCTTGATCTCTAAAATTGACAAGGACATTATAAGAAAAAAAATTGCAGGCTAATTTCTCTTATGAATATGAATGAAAATGTCCCAAGCAAAATGTTAGCAAATGAAATCCAGCAATACATTAAAGGGATACTATATTACAACGAAGTTGTATTTTTTCCCCAGAATACAAGTTGATTTAACATTTGAAAATCAATTAAAGGAGTATAACAGAAAAATCATTTGATTATCTCAAAAGATGCCAATAAAGCATTTGATCTTTTTAAAACATCAACATCTCAAACACACTGACTCAACTAGGAATAGGATAAAACTTCTTTAATTGGATAAAAAATATCTAGCAGAAAATCTAATGCAAACCTCACACTTAAAATATTGAAGGTTCTCCCTCTGAAGGAAATGAGATAAGAATACCCATATCCACTTCCACCCAACAATGTACTGGTGGCCCTAGACAAAACAAGAAGCTAAGAAAATGCAACAAAAGACGCGCCAGTTCTATAAGTAGAATACTATAAAACAATATTAAAAGAAAACATTAAAAACTAATCAATGGAGGATGTACCATATTCATAGATTGGAAGAGTTAATTTTGTAAAAATGACCACTCTCCTCGAATTGACCTCTAGATCCAACTTATTATAATACCAAAGTCCCGGTATTATTTTGTGAAATTTCACAAGCTGCTTATACAATTTAAATGGAAATTAAGAGTCCAGCATAGGCAAGGAAAAAAAAAAAGAATAGTTAGGAAACTTTTTTTGCTGGATATCAAGACTTATTATAAACTTATAGTAATAAAAATAGTATGGTATTGACACAAGGAAACAACTGAATGGAACAGAGAATCCAAAAACAGATCCAAGAACATGTGGAAACTTTATGTGTAACTAAGGTGACAAAGAAATGCAGAAAGCACAATCTTTTTCATAAATAGTGCTGAGAAAATTGGATATCCATATCGGGAAAAAATGAAATATGACTTGTATCTCATACTAAACTAAAACTAGTTCCCAGTGGCTCATAGATATAATCTAAATAACATAATAAATTAGTTAAAAAATATCTAGAAAACAAATCTGTCCAATAACACAGTTAACAGTCACATGTAGCTATTTTAATTTATTACAGTTAAAATGAAAAATCCAGCTCCTCAATCACATTAGCCACATTTCCAGGGCTCAGCAGTCACATGTGACTAGTGACCACTGCATTGGGCAGTGCAATATATACATTTCCATCTTTGCAGAAAGTTCTATTGGACAGCATTGGACATGAACTGTCTTCATGATCTTGGGGTAGACAATGATCTCAAACAACTACAAAAAGCATAAAAAATACAGGATATGATTCTTAAATTAGACCACATTAAAATTAAAAACTTCTGGTTATCAAGACACTACAAAGGAAATGAAAAGTCAGGCTACCATGCTGAAAAAGCTATTTGCTATATATACATCCATCAAAGAACTCATACCTCAAATTTGTGAAAAACTCCTATAAATCAGTAAAAAAAAGACAGGCAACCAAATAGAAAAAAATGGCAGTAGGCATGAACAGGAACTTCACAAAACAGTAGATGAACCTCATTAATCATTAGGGATATGAAATTTAAACTATAATGATACACCAAAATGCATCCACCAGTAGGGCTAAATTTAAAAAGACTGACAATATCAAACAGTTATCAGAACATGGAGCAACTGAAATTCCTACACTGCTGATGGGAATTTATATATTGATAGAACAGTTTTAGAAAGCTGTTTGGTATTAACTAGTAAAGTTAAACATATATATGCATGTCCTATGACCCAGCAATTCTATTCTTGATATATACCCAATAGAAATGCATACATACATATATGCATCAAAAGACATGATCATAGAATGATCACAGTCAAAACCTGGGGCAGGGGGAACCACATGGCCATTAATAGTAGAAAGACAAATTGTGATATAGTCATAAAATCAAATACTGTATTATAATACTGGCAAATACTATATTTATAGCAATAAAAATTAATGAACTCCTACTACATGGAACAACATGGATGATTCTCACAAACACAAATTGGGTTTAAGTAACCAGAATTAAAAGAATACAATGTATAGAATATGATTTCATCTATACAACATTCAAAAAACAGGCAAAACTAACATAGGGCTTTAGAAGTCAAGACAATTGTTACATCTATGAAAAAGGGAGAGAAAGTGATTGGGAGTAGGTATAATTTTACAAATGTTCTGTTTCTTGACTGGGCTACACAGATGGAATCATTGAGTTGTGTGATAATTAAGGATCTGTATACTTCTTACATTACACTTCAATAAGAATTTTTTTTTTTTTTTTTGAGATGGAGTCTCGCTCTGTCGCCCAGGCTGGAGTGCAGTGGTGCGATCTCGGCTCACTGCAACCTCCGCCTCGCAGGTTCAAGTGATTCTCCTGCCTCAGCCTCCCTAGTAGCTGGGACCACAGGCACATGCCACCAAGCCTGGCTAATTTTTTGTATTTTTTTAAGTAGAGACGGGGTTTCACCGTGTTAGTCAGGATGGTCTTGATCTCCTGACCTTGTGATCCGCCCGCCTCAGCCTCCCAAATTGCTGGGATTACAGGTGTGAGCCACCGCGCCCGGTGAGAAGTTTTTTAAAAATCAGTTCCTTTGATATACATGCCATCTAGCTATAATACCTTCCAATCCCTCTTCCTTTCTGTTGCTTACTATGTTTGCCTCTCTCCAAGATTTTAGCATTTGATTCACAGTCTTTCCTTCTATCTCAAGTTTCACTATTATCCAAGATGACTTTACATCCATGTGGTTGCCCCATCCTACGCTACAGCCTCTCTTTCTTGACTTCCATGTCAGCATAGCACTCCAATAGCCACACTCAGAAACTTATCAATACAAGAATCACTCCCCACTTTAAAACAACTCTCAGACCAAATATCCTATGTCTTCAGATCTCTTAGTCAACTATTCTCAAGATTTCAGTTCCTTGACTTCATAGGGATCTCTAGTCCCCTTTTTCTATAGCTCTCTTTCTCTCTTCCTTATTAAACTTAGGTTCTATTCTTTGTCACACCAACCACTTTCTTACCAATAGTATCAACTTCCTTGCCTACTGTCTTTCCATCTTAACCCCTTGCAAAAATCCCAAATTTGGCTGACTCTATTTTGTACATGCATCAAAGTTGCACTGCTTAAGAAATCAAATAATCTGGCCTATCTCAAGCGTAGCTTCCATGCCTTCTGTTTGTCCTAATATATTTCTCTAGTCTACTCTTCCATCTCCCCATGGAAAGAAGTCAAATCTTTTCCATTTGTTCTAAAGCCATAAAATCTCTCTCTGACAGCAGATTTCACATGTCCAATTTCACAGAAAATAAAAAATAAAAACCATAAAATGTCCTTTCTTGCCAAACTAAAAATACATCTGAATCCATACTCATATTTTGTCGTCTATAGCTTCTGTTAAAATGGAAGTCATCCCTTGTCCCACTACCATCCTACCTTTTCTAGGACTTTGCTCTTTCAGTTCTCTTCCTCCTATCTTCCCTTCCTCCTGTCTTTCCTTTCAGTTTTTAAAATAATAAAGTCTTTCTCATCTTAAAAACAAACAAGTAAATTACAATGAAAAATAAAATTCTCCTCCATGTCCCTCTGCAAGAATCACCCTATCTTCCTCTCCCAATTCATCAAAAAAAATATTTATTCTCTGTCAACTCCCTCATCTCCCAGCTCAGGCATCAAACCACATTCTGCTTACTCACCACAGTACACAAATGACGTTGTTGTTGCTGAACCCAATGGGCACATTTCAGTCTTTTCTTACCTGACTTCTCTGAAACACTGGATAGGCTCACAGTGTTAAAAAGCAAGCAAGCAATCAAACAAACAAACAAAAAACATGCCTCCAGGGCTCAAGAATCTCTTGTGTTTCCTCGTACACTTCTGACCACCCTCTCTTAGTACCTTTCACAGGCAGTCTTCTGTTCTTTTAAATGATGATATGCTTCAAAATTATCTCTTAGGCTATTTTTTCCTTTCATTTTACATCTGCCTAGAGACCTTATCTATTCTCATGGCTTCAATTACCATTTATTGCTGATAACGTCCAATTCTACATTTCTATTCCTGACATGTCTCATGAGGTTCAGAGACATGCCACTCAGATATCTTGCATACTCTTTAAACTTAGGATCTTGAAAACGGAATTCATCCTATCCCTCATCTATGAATTGCATCATCCATAAGCCAATTTCCCCAAACACTGTCAATTCCACCTCTTAAATGTAGCTTCTTTTTATCTCTAGTATCATTCTTTATTTCCACATGCCTCTGCTACCATGTAGGCCATCATCCTAGTTTGTTTGGGTTACTTCTCCCTCTTAACTCATCTCTCCTTGCTTCCAGTCCTGCTCCCTTCCAATCATTTCCATTCTATAGCCAGAACATGCCAAAATTGTTTATTTAAAAATTTGTTTTCTCATTAAATTGTAAGATTCAAGAGAACAGAGACCATGTCTATCTTGCTAACCTCGCAATTACTATAGGTGTCTGGTACATTGTAAAATACAAAAATTATTTATCAAAAAGATAAATAAACTGGCATTATTGACTTCATCTAATATGGAAGTAATACAGAAATGCTCTAAAGACTTCACGGGAATATCACTCATGTCTGCTTTTGCTCTTCATTGTACCCCAGAGTCTAGTATAAGTCTGGCCCCTATTGTTGAATCAATGTATAAGAATAAAAGCAAAATATGAGGTTAAAGTGCTTTGGAAGGTGTTATATAAAACACTACACAAATAAAACATACAAAAAATAAAGCAGTACTACTTCCCACATGCAAAAATAACTGAATTGCCAGTTTAAAATTGTCACTTTTACCCTTATGGTGTTCTCCCTATCCTCTTCCATGTTTTATTTATTTCCATAGCTCTTTTCATGTTCTATCATACAATATAATTTACTTCTTTTGTTTATTGTTGTCTCCCCCACTAGAATATAAGCTCCATAAAAGCAGCAATTTTTACCTATTCTGTTATTGAGTACCTCATAGGTGCTCAATGAATATTATTAAATTAAATTGATTATACCTGGGACCGCAATAAAAGTGTTAAATATTTATCTTACTTCATTTTTAAGATAACACACTGGTTAGATCCTTTTATCTCCATTTTAGAGATTTAAAAAGCAGTCACAAGAGTCACATCATTTCCTTAAGATTGGAGCAGAATGTCATAAGAGGAAATCAAAAAGACAGAACAAACAGAAACACAAATAAGATAAAAGGAAAAAATTGAAACATATCAGTCATCATAATAAAGGTAAACAGATTAAACTCCCCTGGCTTACAGACAAAAACTAGAGTGGAATTTTTAAGTACAACAATATGAGATAAAAAATATATATAGCACTTAAACATAAGGACACAAGACTTCTAGTGCCAGCCAACATGGAGTAAACCCACCACAGCCTATCTCTCCCACCGATTAAAACTAAAAAAACAAAATTTAAAAAGCAACTACCCTATGACTCTGAAAAGTTAACGATAGTAGCAGACTGGAAAGACTAGCCAAAATTCAAATAACCTCTTTGGGGGTAAGTCACCTGGTTTTTCGTCTTTTATTTCCTGGCTTTGACCCAATGGCTGCCCCACTGTGGAACTGTGCAGGGAGGGTAAACAACCAAACACTGGAAGAAACCCCACTTCTGGCCAGACAACCTGGAAAGGTGGAAAATTTCCCCATTACTTTTTTTTTTTTTTTAGATGGAGTCTTGCTCTGTCACCCAGACTGGAGTGCAGTGGTGCGATCTCGGCTCACTGCAACCTCTGCCACCCAGGTTCAAGCAATTCTCCTGTCTCAGCCTCCTGAGTAGCTGGGATTACAGGCATGCACCACCAAGCCTGGCTAATTTTTGTATTTTTAGTAGAGACGGGGTTTTGCCACATTGGCTAGGCTGGTCTCAAACTCCTGACCTCAGGTGATCCATCTGCCTCGGCCTCCAAAGCGCTGGGATTACAGGCATGAGCCACCACACCCAGCCCCCCATTACTTCTTTTGTCTTTCTTTCTTTCTTCTCTCATACCCCTGCCCAAAGAGTAGTCCCTGTCATAGACCTGCACTGCAATGGCAGCTTAAACCCTTGAGAGAAACGTGTTTCAGGCCAGGGGAACTGGAAAAGGGAACAGTATGGCCTGAAGGCTGCAGTAGAATACCATTTTTTAATTTGTTTGTTTGTTTTTCTTTCTTTTCTCTTGCTGTTTTGCTCAAGAGTAGTACTAGTCACACGGAACTACATGGAACAGCAGATCTGGAAGCTAAAACTCCAAGAGAAGCCCTGTCTTTCTAGTGAGAAGCCCAGGAAAAGGAGCCTCTGAGATCCCTAGAGTGTGGGAGAAATACTGGAGAGCACATAGCTGGAGTAATGGATCCCTCAATTCTGTGTACAGATAAAAGTCTTAGCTCACCCCTGTATAGATACAGGTAAAGAAAGAGAGAGACAGAGATTTATTTCAAGGAACTGGCTAACATGATTGCGGATGTCTGGCAAGTCAAAAGTCTGCAGGGGGGAAGAGTTGTTTTTAAGAGTCCAAAAGACGCTAGCAGAATTCCTTCTTGCTCAGGGGAGGTCAGTTTTTTTTTCTGTTAAGGCCTTCAGCTGATCAGATGAGACCCACCCATCAATATGCTTTACTCAAAATCTACTGATCTGAATATTAATCTAATTTTAAAAATACCTTCAGAGAAACAGCTAGAATAATGTTTGAACAACTATCTAGATACCATAGCCTGGCCAACTGACACAAAAAATTAACCATCATGGCCCTCATATCATTGCTATTCAACATCATTCTATAAGTCTTAGCCAGTGCAATGTGGCAAGAAAAAAGGAGAAAGGTTAGAAAGGAAGAAGCAAAACTGTCTTCAATTGTCAATATAGAAAACCCCTCCCCAAACTATAACAAAGCTCCTAGAACTACTAAGTGAGTTTAGCAAGGTCTCAGAACCTATGGACAATATACAAAAATTAATTGTATTTCTATATACGAGCAATAAACAACTAGAATTTGAAAATTTAACAGATATTAAACATAATAGCATCCCAAATTGAAATATTTACATAAAAATTTAAGGAAATGTATACAGGATCTGCATGCTTAAAACAATAACATACTAATGAAAGAAAGCACAGAAGACATACAAGAATGGAGAGTTATACCTTATTCACACATTAGAAGACTCATTAAGATGTTAATTCTTTCCAAATCAACCCACAGATCCAACACAATCCCAGTTAAAATCTCAGCAGTATTTTTCGTGGGTATTCAGAAGCTGATTCAAAAATTTACACAGAAAGTTAAAGGTTCCTTCTTGAAAAAGAACAAAGTTGGAAGACTCATTCTTTAGAGACAGGGTTTATCAAGATTTAATATAAAGCTACAATAAGCAAGGCAATGTGGTATTGGTGGAAGAACAGAAAAATAGATCAATGAAACAGAACAGAGAGTCCAGAAATAGACCCACTCAAATATGGTCAATTGATTTTGACAAAGGTGCAAAGGTAACTGAATCAAGAAAGCTTAGTATTTTAAATAAATGGAGCTGCACCAATTGGACATTCATATACAAAATAATAAAATAAACCTCACAGCTTACATAAAAATTAAATCAAAATAAATCCTAGACATAAGCTTAAAAATAAAAATAATAAAATGTCTAGGAAAAAATGTTTGTGACCTTGGGCGAGGCAAACAATTCTTAGATAAAATACCAAAAGTGCAGTAGATTTAAAAAATATATTTTTAGGCCGGGCAAGGTGGCTCATATCTGTAATCCCAGCACTTTGGGAGGCTGAGGTGGGCAGGTCATCTGAGGTCAGGAGTTCAAGACCAGCCTGGCCAACATGGTGAAACCCCATCTCTACTAAAGATGCAAAAATTAGCCAGGTATGGTGGCAGGTGCCTGTGGTCCCAGCTACTCGGGAGGCTGAGGCAGGAGAATTGCTTGAGCCCGGGGAGCAGAGGTTGCAGTGAGATCACGCCACTGCACTCCAGCCTGGGTGACAGAGAGAGACTCTGTCTCAAAATAAATAAATAAATAAATAAATAAATAAATAAATAAATAATGTATTTTTAAATAAATTGGACTTCATACAAATTAAAAACTCTCACTCTGTGAAAAACTGTTAAAAGAATAAAAAGAAGTCATACACTGGGAGAAAGTATTTATACATAACATATCCGCCAAAGGACTTATATCTGGAATACGTAAAGAACTGTCAAAACCCAACAATAAGAATATAAAAGAATCTAATTTAAAAAAAATCCAATGTTTAAAATGGGCAAATAGCTGAGAGTGGTAGCACACATCCATAATCCCAGCCACTCAGGAGGCTGAGGTGGGAGGATCACTCCTGAGCCCAGGAGTTCAAGGCTGCAGTAAGCTATGATTGTGCCACTGCACTCCAGCCTGGACAAAAGAGTCAGACCCTGTCCCTCAAAAAAAAAAAAAAAAAAAAAAAAAAAAGAAGTTAGGGAAAGATTTGAAAAGATACTTCATCAAAGAAAATATACGAATGGTAAACAAGCATATGAAAAGATATTCAACATCATTAGTCATTAAATAAGTGCAAAACAAAAACCATAGTATGATACTACTACACATATATTGTTATAGTTAAAGTAAATAAATAAACTGACAATACCAGGTGCCGGTAAAGACATGGAGGAACTAGAATTCCCAGAAATTGCTAGTGGGAGTATAAAATGCTTCCAATGCTTTGCAAAATAGTCTGGCATTAAAAAAAAATTATCATATAGACCAGAAATCTTACTCCTAAGTATTTATCCAAGAGAAATGAAAACTTACGTCAACCAAAAACCCTACAAATGAGTGTTTTTAGTAGTTTTATTCTTAATCACCAAAAACTGGAATCAGCCCAAAGGTCTTTCAACTGGTAAAAGGATAAACCAAATGCTGTACATTCATACAATGGAATACTACTCAGCAATAAAAAGTTATAAACTATTGATATATACTGAAACATAAATGAACCTCAAATATATGTGCTAAGTGAAAGAAGCCAGACTCAAAAGCCTAGAAATCCATATATGACATTCCGAAAAACGTAAAACAATAGGGACAGAGAACAAGGGTTTGGGGTGGGAGAAAAGGTTGGCTACAAGGGGCTGCACAAGGGAATTTGGGTGGAGGAAGGATGGAAATGCTCTGTATCTTGATTTTGGTCAGTTACACATCTCTGCATTTTTCTAAAACTTATGGAACTGTCTGCCAAAAAAGGTAAACTTTACTGTATGTAAATTTTTTAAAATAATGTTCTGTATGCAAGGAAATGAATAAACCGGAGCAAGTTTAATAGTTAAAAGGTAGAGAAAGATTTACCAGACAAATGCCAAAAGAAAGCTAATATGCTTATATTGATATCAGGTAAAATAGTTTTTAGGTAATTTACCCCAAGACATAGCAAGGGGAGAACCAGCTTTGAATCCTGCCTCTTTCTTGCTGTAAAGTCTATGCTCCTTTCAATACATCTTAAAGACTCGCAAGTCTAGTTAGCTGTCAAGACTTGGGAAATTTATTAAAAAGAAAATTTGAGACAATCTCTAAAGACTCGCAAGTCTAGTTAGCTGTCAAGACTTGGGAAATTTATTAAAAAGAAAATTTGAGACAATCTCTCACAAGCACACAAATTCTACCAAGAAATAAATGTAGTTTTCATGTTTTGAGAAAAATCGACCAAAAATCAGTAAATATGTATCCAGGAAAATGTTTACTCAATTAATACTGGTGATACTGTTTTAATTTGAAGATTCCTTACCTTGTTTTCTTTTAATAACAGCAGAAATCCTTCATTACTCTTACTAAAATTTCAAAATTTTCACCAGGTTTCTCTTTAAAAAGAAATAAATATGAGCATTTTGCATTGAAGATTCCCTGTGGCTGAGATAAATGATCAGAAGAAGCTGCCTGCTTTTAACTGGAACATTTTCAGGAAAAACTAGGAGAAAATTAGCTATATAATGTATCAGTGTGAAAGCTGAATGTTGTACCTGGAAATGTTTACTGTATATCATGCTCCTTCTAGGAAGCTAATGGTAAATGATCATACTAAACATTAGGTAATACTTCACTGACAAAAATCAGGATGCTCGGTCTTCAGAAGAGTCAATGTGAAAAGTCAAGCAAAACAGCAATTAAATAGTTTCAGGCAAGTCCCCCAATCCCAAGTACTGTTCCCTTTCGGGAATTTCTTCTGTTAAAATAATAACAGTGGCCTGTCCTTAGAATGTGGCAAAATGAGAGCAATAACCTCTTAGACCATAGATTCAGGTTGTAAAATCTCTGTTTTTGGGGGCTGAGTTTACAGTTAAGGCTAAAACTACAGAAAACATGTAGATAGTGCACATCCTTGGCTGCCTTGGTGCCTCACACCTGTAATCCCAGCACTTTGGGAGGCTGGGACAGGCAGATCACTTGAGCCCAGGAGTTCAAGACCAGCCTGACTAGCAAAACCCCATCTCTCTATTAAAAATACAAAAATTAGCCAGGCATGGTGGTGCACACCTGTAATCCCAACTACCTACCATGTTGGGTGGTGGAGGCACAAGAATTAGTTGAACCCAGGAAGTGGAGGCTTCAGTGAGCCACGATCCTGTCACCGTACTCCAGCCTGGGCGACTTAGCATTCTATTTTGTTTATTAAATGCAAATCTGGTTTCTTTTGCTCACCTTCTACCTCACTTGAGCAAAGGTAAATTTTTTATACCACTCCCTCTTTATGTAGTCTAATATTATTTAGTAAGAATGTCTAAAAAGTAAATTTCCACAAAAACCTACAATTAAGCAAGTGAATTAAATGAAAATCTCAAGGAAAATACTCTGCATTACCAGCTAAATCCCCTTAGTCAACCTTCCCCAGGCCCAATCCTCCTATGCTTCTCAATTTCCCTCATATTTCACTCTAAAGTATGTGAGGAGTTCTATTTTTCCATGAACAGGGCACACAATACCAGGCATTAGCCAGGAATTGAGGAAAACATCATAGATCAAGAAATGGACTTCTTACTAAACTCCAGTCCTTTGCAAAAAGAGTTCTCAGGGTACTGAAACTCAGCTGAGGTAAGTCACCTGAACTGCTGAATGTGATACAGTAAAAAGAACTTAGTTTGGTTGAACAAATCATTTTATCTATAGAGATAGATAGATAGATAGATAGATAGATAGATAGATAGATAGATAGATAGATAGAAAGAAAGAAAGAAAGAAAATAATGGGACAGAGAGGTAAGGTATAATCAGAGAAGGATGCAATTAACCATTGGAGAAGGTGGGTGGGAAGAAAACGACTGAGAGGACAATGGGAAGTAATGTAAATAGGATTCATGCCACATCCAAATACCAAAGGATGGACACAGGCACAGGTCATATTCCCAAGAAAGACAGACAGACAGACAGATAGGTAGATAGGCAGGTAGGTAGGTAGGTAGGTAGGTAGGTAGGTAGGTAGGTAGATAGACAGATAGATAGATAGATAGATAAGCTGGTTAGGGTTAGAGAATTTTAGTTCTTGAACAATTTCTTTTTCAGACAACATGCTATTACCTGTATTCTCTCTGTCATCAAAAATCAAGACATGCCATAATGACATGATCTTTTATATAGAAAATCTTAATAAATCCACAAAAAACTATTAGACCTAATAAAAGAGTTCAGCAAGGTTACAGGATACAAAAAAATACACACAAAAAATCAGTTGTATTTCTACACTAGCAGAGAACAATATGAAAATGAAATTAAGAAAACAATTTCATTCACAACAGCATCAAAAAGAACAAAATATGTAGGAATAAATTTAATGAAAAAATTCAAGACTTGTCACCTGAAAATCTATACAACAGTGTTGAAAGAAATTGAGAGGAGCTAAGTAAATGGAAAGACATTCCGTATTGATGAATTGGAAGATAGAATCTTGTTAAGATGGCAATTCTCCTCAAATTGAAGTATAGCTCCAGTGCAATCCATATCAAAATTCCAACTGACATTTTCGCAGAAATTGAGAAACTGATGCTAAGATTCATATGGAAATGCATAGAACCAAAGCTAGCGAAAACAATCTTCAAAAAGAAGAACAAAGTTGGTGGGCTTACGTTTCCCAATTTCAAAAAATGACTGTTATAAAGCCACAGTAAACAAGACAGTGTGACGCTGACAAAGGATAGGCATATGAAACAGTGGAATAGAATTTGGCGTCCAGAAATAAATGCATACATCTATGGTAAATTGATTTTTGACAAGGGTGCCAAGATAATTAAGTGGGAAAAGAATAGTCTTTACAAATAATGGTTCAGAGACTACTGGATATTTATTAGTACATGCAAAAGAATGAATTTGCACCCCTACCTCATTGCTACATACAAAAATAAGTTAAAATAGATGAAAGACCTAAATGTAAAAGCTAAAACCATAAAACTCTTAGAAGACCACATAGGGTTTAATCTTTGTGCCCTTAGGATACGTAACAGTTTTGTAGATATAATACCTAAGGCGAAATAAATCTAATAAAAAAATAGATAAATTGGACTTTACCTACATAAAAAACTTTTGTGAGCCAAAGAACGCTATCAAGAGAGGGAAAAGACAACCAATGGAATGGGAGAAAATTTGCAAATCATATAGTCAATAAGGGTCTAGTATTCAAAATATACTTTAAAACTCTCATCACTCGACAATGAAAAAAAACTAATTTTAAAGTGCACAAAGGATTTGAGTATACATTTCTCCAAAGAAGAAATACAAATGGCTGATAAGCACATGAAAAAATACTCAACATCATTAGACATTAGCTAAGTGCAAATCAAAACCACAATTGGATACTTCACACCCAGTGGAATAGCTGTAATTTAAAAGAAAGATAATGCCAAGTGGACCAGAATTGGCAAAGATGGGGAGAAACTGTAACCCTCATACATTCCTGGTGGGAATATAAAATGGTGATGCCTCTGTAAAACTTAGTTTGGTAGTTACTTGAAATTAAATCATAGTGTTACTACATGACCCAGAAATTCTACTGCTAGGTTATATACACAAGAAAACTGAAAACATATTCATATAAAAACTTGTACACAAATCTTCATAGTAGCATTGTTCATAACAGTCACAAAGTAGAAACAACCAAAATGTTCATCAACTGATGAATGGATAAACAAAATGTCATATATCTATTATAATGGAATGTTACTCAGCTGTCAAAAGGAATAAAGTACTTATATGTGTTACAACATGGGTGAACCTTGAAAACATGCCAAATGAAAGAAGCTATAAGCAAAAGGCCACATATTGTTTGATTTCATTGATATAAAATCTCCAGAATAAGCAACTCTATAGAGAAAAAAGTTAAATTAGTGGTTGCCAACAACTGAGAGGAGGAAGGAATGGGAGCACACGTAAACTCGTGATAAACATAGTCTTTGCCTTCCCATACAAACCCCTCCAAGATCTCCTCTGGGCTGACCCTCAATGACCTAAACTTTGCTCCCTTAAGATTTGCAAACCATCACCCAGACAGTCACCAGTGTCTTTTGACTGGTTTAGAAAACCTCCCATCTCAGTGACTGGTTGGTTATGCTATACTTCAGATTTCTTTAGTCTCTGTCCAATTCTGGCTAAAAAGAGTTTGGTATGATTAGAGAGGTCCTGCCAAGTCTGGGGATAGAGTATTGTTTGCAAGCCAGAAAAAGACAGGAGGAATTTTTTTCAAGTAACATAGGGAACCAATATCAAAGCAAATGTTGGCAAGAGAGAGCTCAGGCTTGTGCATCAAGAAGTCTACTCTCAAATACCAAGTTCATGGGACCAGCAGGGTCAACACTAGGTTACAAAGCAAAGTGCTTGAAGTGTTTGAAGCCAGGCAACAATGAGACAAGAGTGAAAGCAGACTGTGAATAAGCAAGGAAGATGGGGTGACCTGGGTGACTTCCCTGAGCCACTTTGGTACATGTGCAGTTTGGCCATCTTTATCAAAGGTACAAGTTAGCTAGGTTAGCTTAATAACCCAGAAGCAAGGGAGTCACTATTGGCAGCGATGGAAACTTAAGCTCCTTAGTTTCCAAGTTAACTGGCTACATTTTCTGATTCCAAGGGAGTTCCAGAGCATACCTACAGGGCCAAAAGCCTGTCTCCTATAAAATGCCAGGAAAAAGAACTAAATTCAAAAGCCCTGATCACCTTCTTTTTGGGCCCTACTTTTAGAGGTTAGAAACTGCCTCCTTGTGAAAGAATGAAATCCATACTATCCAATATCCAAGGCTGTGGGATCTAAGCACTGTTTTTATTCAATCACTCAACAAAATAATTTTAGCAGATGAAAAGGTAGGCCTGGCCACACTGATCTCAGTTAAGATCAAAAGACTTTTTTTTTCTGAGCAACTTTTAAGAAACAAAATGGACTTACATATTCCCGATAACTCTCTTAAAATATAGACCTGTTGAATCCGGAATATTTAAGTTCATATCTTAATACTAAAATTCCCTTTGTCCAAACCCAAGTCAGTGTCAGCTGCCTGCCTTTAACTTGACAATCTTTCAAATAACATCTAGGCGATGTGCCCTCTAGCTTAGCCATTTACAAACATTTTAAAGCAGCAGAACACTTTCTGCAAATAAGACCTCTTAAGATACCATAAAACAGAAGAAAATGGAGGTACTCTGATTGAAGTAAGGTAGAGGGCTCCAAAGACCCACCTATTTTACTTGGCTTCTTCCAAATGTGTCCCTTTCCCCACACACACACCCTAACACACACAAATAATAGTTCCAATGTGTCTCCACTCACATATGGGGCTTTCCTGAACCCAGTATGAAACGCAAGTTAGTTGACACAATAATTTCTTGAGACAGGAGTACAAGAAATGATGATTTTATTAAAGCTTCATCAACAGAAGAAAGACCTATTGTGAGACAATTTGTTCCCCCATGGTCCACAGCTGTGGGGACAGCCTTGATAAATAGGGAAAACATTTCACCAAACTTGTGTAAAGTTACGACTTAATTCTCCTAAAGCAAAGTCCAAGGAGAACTGTCATTTGCATATCCAAGAAACTATCACTGTTGATCATTTAGCCTTTCTATTCTTTATCATCCGATAAAGGAACTGATGTCAAACATGCTTGTGAAGAAATTGAAATTAATTTTTTTATGTAAAAAATAATTTGATTTTGCTGTTTATTTCTACCAATGAGATAGACTTTGGCGAATCAAAAGTGATTATTTTATAGAACTCACCCTTAAACTTATTTTCTCCTTTAACAGTTGCTTGCAATCCTTTAACAGCTGCTTACAATTAATTTGATCGCATGAAGACCTTTAAGTAGAGGTAGGGGAGGGAAAGCTGTAAAAACCTCTACATGGATTACCATATGCGACCTTCTACAGTCTAAGGCTTTGCCTTGTTCTGACTATCCTCCAGTAGAGGTTTTACCCTAGCTGTATACGAACAAGTTTAAATTTGAAAAACCCAAACTGCCGTGTGAGGCTGTGAAGGACAGATCACTGCAATCTCAGTTATTAAAGATGATTTGAATAGGGCTAGGGATGGAGATAGGAGAGAAAATCTGTCAGAAAATGAGCCTATTGATGAGAGGAAGCTACTTAGACATGTATTCAATTTAACTCCTTTCACCAACAAGTGGTTTAAAAAATTGAGTACAATACTGACACTATCCAATTCTAGATGAACTGTAGGACATACTAAGATACATCTGTATTTCAATGGGAAGCTGTAGGTTTAGGTACAGGCCCAATAACAACTTTAGATTGTAGAATGCAACTGCTAATGGCACGGTTGGGGGAGAAGCACTATGGAGGCAGATTCTCACTGAGGCCCAGATGGGCTATTCTGCTGCCATTGTAGCCTTGGGACATACCTATTGTGATCTGCCAACCCCACCTCATAGTAAACAGCATATCCAACTAATCATCTAAAGCTGAAGGTCTCTCCTGAGAAAGAAATTTTACTACCAGAGAATTCAGTTTTTTAAGTCTTCTTTTGAATGAAAATGACACAATTCATTATGTAGGTAAGTAAATGTACTAAGTATACTATGTCAGCTTTCTCCTCAATAAGCTGTAAGCCTTGGCCTGTGAATGCACAGCTGTAGGAAACCTGAAGCTCAACAATTCTATTGACCAGCAGTGCTTTATTTTATATAGAATAGAAATTGTGTCCACTGCTTTTCCTTTCCATGATATTTATGGATTAATGATAATAAATATTCATAGTATCAACTATGTGCCCCACAATGCTAAGCAAATAACATGCACTAACTCACATAATTCTCATAACAACCCACTGGAATCATCCTCATAATATTCCTTATGTAGAAATAATTTCCTATTTTGCAGATGAGGAAGGTGAAACGCCTAATAACTGTCCTCGGTCACACTGCTAATAAGTAGAAGAACCTGAGTAAGAACCCAAGTGTTTCTGACTCCAGAGCCCAACCCCTAACCTGTTGAAGAAACTCTCTTTGGGTCAAGCTATATAATATGGTATCAGTCAATGTTCAGTTGCAAAAACCAGAATCTATTCTCTACTTGAAGCTCTCTGGCTAGTTGAATAGGGAGAGAGGACTGAATAAACAAATTCTAGATGACTTTCCAGGAAAAATTCCTGAAGCAATCCTGCAGAACTGAACACCATCCAACCTACCGCCTCTTCTCAGGTCAGGAATCTGTCATTCTAGAATCACATCCCCACTCCAGTGAACAAAAACCTGACCGTATGTGGCCACCTCCAGAGCCACAGCACACCTGCTACAACTCCCACCAGCAAAATGGATGCCCCGTCCTCTGGACAGTGAAGCCTCTGTGAAGGTCACGTAGACAACCTCCATGCCAGAAATGCTTCTGACAAGAGCAGTTTCCACATGCTTCTGCCTTCCAAATCCTGCACAAATGCATCTACTATGATATTCCTGAACCAAATTCAGGCCCCTATTTGAGACGTGTGAGAACTGTGTATTAGCTTTCCAGTGTCTGCTGTACAGGAAGGGCATGAGAGAAGAAGGGCAGATTGGAAGTTGAGTTTTAATCCACTACAGCTATTACAAGTTCCAAGGATTTGGATGTCCTGACGAGTCCTAGGGGACTCCTGATTAGGGCTGCAATAGTTTGTGTGTCTGGGGAAAGAGTCCAGAGCTTTCCTGATATTCTCAAAAGGGGTTCATGACCTAAAACTTCATCAGTTCTGCTTTAAAATAATAATACAATACCGTTTTGAGAATAAGATTGTTATTGTGGGAGAAGGTAAAACATAATGGTTAAAGACGTGAGCTCCCTAGTATGGCATCTGAGTTCTAATTCCAGTTCTCTTACTTAGATGTCTGACCTCCAACATGTTACTTAATCTTTTTGTGTCTCAGTTTCCCCTTCTCTAAAGTGTGGAGAATAGTATCAACCTCATAACGGTGTTCAAAGACTAAGTGAAAGAATATGTGTGAAGTAGTATTTCCGTGCTTAAAAGAGCAGACCTTAAGGGCTTCCATGGAGTTCTGCTCAACCATTTATGCAAATATAATGAATTTTACAAAGAAAAGCCCAGCCCTGCTGGCAGGTACTCCCACAGACCAACTCTGGACAGCAGAAACAATGTTCAGCTTTGGCAAGAATATAAATCAGACCCTTTAATTCTGACAGTAGGTCCACTACTCCAGTGTCTAAAATGTATGTGCCAATCAATTGCAAGAAAAACCTACATTTCAGCTATTTATCAGTAACTTCAGTGTTAAGTTGATTGATACGTGACTCCAATCAAAAGACTGGTTGACATCAGACTGTAACACATTAAGAAGAATGATTATGATCAGTATCAGTGAGCACTTTGAGAAATGAGTACTCTAAGACACTGCTGGCATCTTAGAATTAGTACATCTTTTCTGAGATTGATATGGGAATATCTAACAAAACCTTTAAAATGTGAATATTCATTGACTCACCAATTCCACTTCTAAGAATTTATTCCAAATAATATTTGACAATTGCATCAATTATATATACAAGGATGTTCACTTAGAAATTTGTTTATAATGCACATTTTTAAAAAACTCAGTGTTCACAACATAAAATTGGTTAAAACAATTACGACCTTACCTTACAATGGAATTCTCCCCATTTTTTTTTTTTTTTTTTTTTTTTTTTTTTTGAGATGGAGTCTCACTCTGTTGCCCAGGCTGGAGTGCAGTGGTGTGATCTCGGCTCACTGCAAGCTCTGCCTCCTCCTGGGTTCACACCATTCTCCTGCCTCAGCCTCCTAAGTAGCTGGCACTACAGGCGCCCGCCACCACACCCAGCTAATTTTTGTATTTTTAGTAGAGACAGGGTTTCACCATGTTTGCCAGGATGGTCTCGATCTCTTGACCTCGTGATCCGCCCACCTCGGCCTCCCAAAGTGCTAGGATTACAGGCATAAGCCACCATGCCTGGTCGGAATTCTACACAACTATTAAAGGGAAAATGAAGATGTATTTAAATATTGGGATGCAAAAATGTCTGTGATGTAAATTTCAAAATAAAAGGGTGCATAGTATGATTCATTTGCATGTGTATTTTTATATATAATATATATGAATATACATTATAGATAAAGCTATATATAAACTTCTGGAAAGCTATGCACTGAAAGGTTAACAGTGGTAACTTTTAACATTTGGGATTATGAATAATTCTTCTTTATGATATTTTGTATTTTATTTAAAATTTTCAGTATATATTATTTTTTCAATCAGAAAAAATGATTATAAAGAATTTTAAGCCCAGATCATACCACTTTTATTTGAAGACAGCGCAAAATATGTACTGAGATGCTCAGATCCATACAGAATCTCTAGGCTCTTTCTTTGCATCTTGCAAGAATAGGCAAACTCAAATGCTTTTTGAAGACAGGCAGGCAAAGTAAATAAGTGAAATAGACAGTAGGAGGAAATAGGGAGAGGAGGTGCCCATGATTAACTATGGAGCAAGTATCCAGTCTAAAGTTATTCAAATTAAAAACGGCCAGGTGCAGTGGCTCATGCCTGTAATCCCAGCACTTTGGGAGGCCAAGGCAGATGGAACATTTGAGGTCAGGAGTTCAAGACCAGCCTGGCCAACATGGTGAAACCCCATCTCTACTAAAAACACAAAAATTAGCTGGGTTGTAGTGGTGCATGCCTGTAATCCCAGCTACCTGAGAGGCTGAGGCAGGAGAATCGCTTGAGCCCAGAAGGCGGAGGTTACAGTCAGCCGAGATTGTGCCACTGCACTCCAGTCTCCACAACAGAGTGAGACCCTATCTCCAAAAAAAACAAAAAACAAAAACAAAGTTAAAAAACATTTCAAAACACTTAAAATAGCATCTGTAGGCTGAATTTGAACAGTAAGCTGCCAGTAAAGACTTTAACAGTGTAAACCTACACACACAGAGTACATTAGTGTAACACTCTCACACAACTACAACTGAGCATCACCCCTCCCCATCTCTTGGAATTGGTTTAAGTGGTATCTATAAAGAAGACTATTTTTCCATAGTTGTGAAATGATCGATCTAGAATTTAATACAAGAAAAAGTCTGTCTCTCCTGATAATCTTGTCTGTTTCCTTCTGTAACAGAATGAAAGCAATGTATTTAATTGGCTCTCCCTTGTTATTTGTTATTTTAGAAAGCTCAAAATCTTTCCTTAGTTTATGTTTTCTATTAAAACTGCCTTTTCCCATCCACCATTTAGTTATTATTCACTTGCTTTGATGGTTATAGTATATGTATGTATTATTAGCATATGAGAATGTATGTATACAAACCACTTGAAATAGTTTTGGAATTCAGATTGGACTAAGGGAAGTAACACTGCATTAATATACTGAAAAAAATAACATCAGCTTACAAAAAAATGTAACTGGCACAACTACTTTATATACTTTGGTATTATCTCTATTTATTGACCAACTTTTTAACTAAAAAATACAGGCTGCAAATGTAATATGGAGAATTTTGCAGCTGACATGGGAGAGAACCAGAGAAAATGACAAGTGAGAAGAGAAGTTGAAGGGAGTAGAAAGTGGGAAGAAAATAATGTGCAATAACTGCATGGTGGAATTATGTGTATACAGCAACTATTGTACAAAAAAAAAAGATAAAACAAATAGCATCTTTCTGAGGTAGCATATACTCCTTACTAAGGACTCAAAACATACACGGGTAAGTGTAGCAGCAGAGCCTGTGTTCCATTTCCCCTCCAGGTCCTCTGCCTGCCTCTGGTCCTCACCCCCAGCCCCCAGGCTTCTCCACCTGCTCCAAGCTGTTGCTTTATTGTGTACCCGCCATTAACCTCTTTCTCAAAAACTGGAAATAAGAATATAAATATTCCTCAGACTTGAAGTTTGGGGACTAAGATGTTTATTAAAAAATAATAATTGATGGTAGGTAATTATCAAAATGAAACGTGCTAAGATGAATAATATTAAAATTAATTATTCAATATTTTAAATGGTATTTTATTTTTGTATTGATAAGCTGTTCCTTTTCAAGAAATAGTAATTCCAGGGATCAATGAAATGCTGGGAGATTCTTTAAAAGAAGGCCTTTGTATACATTCAAAGCATGTGCTGAGTCAAAAGTGTAACTTTGATGGTAAAAAGCTAAGCAATATTCTGCTCAACCAGATGTACACATAACAAAGAACATTAACCAGCCTCTTGTTTTTATTATGTAGTGAAATAAACTTCAACTTAAAGAAGTAATAAGACCCAAATCCAGCATCCTGGTTATTTATAAGAAATATATCCTGTTTAGCTATATATCTTAAGCTCCCATTAAAATGGGATAAAACATCTTAGAAATCAATACAATAGGAATCCAATAATAAATCAACTCCCATTTTATTTAGATTAAACACTTAATGAGCGGTTAGTGGTCAGAAAATTTTAGAAAGTAAAAGCTGGATGAGAAAGCACTGTTATACCAATGCCTAAATAGCATTCAATATGCATTTAGGACTTTCCACAAACACTCCAAGGTGTAAAGCCAAAAAAGTTTTAAGAAAAATAAGTCATTGGCCAGGTGTGGTGGCTCATGCCTGTAATCCCAGCACTTTGGGAGGCCGAGGTGGGTGGATCACCTGAAGTCAGGAGTTCGAGACCAGCCTGATCAACATGGTGAAACCCCGTCTCTACTAAAAATACAAAAATTAGCCAGGCGTGGTGGCGGGCGCCTGCAATCTCAGCTACTTGGGAGGCTGAGGCAGGAGAATCACTTGAACCCCCGGGAAGCAGAGATTGCAGTGAGCAGAGGTCAGAGATCGCGCCACTGCACTCCAGCCTGGGCAACAAGAGCGAAACACAGTTTCAAAAAAAAGAAAGAAAATAAATTACTTAGTGAAAGATAGTGAGAAAGAAGTTTCATATGCTTTTTTTTTTTTTTTTGTAGACAGTCTCACTCTGTTGCCCAGGCTGCCAAGCTGGAGTGCAGTGGCATGATCTCTGCTCACTGCAACCTCTGCTTCCCGACAGTTCAAGTGATTCTCCTGCCTCACCCTCCCAAGTAGCTGAGATTACAGGTGCCCACCACCACACCTGGCTAATTTTTGTATTTTTAGTAGAGACAGGGTTTCCCCATGTTAGCCAGGCTGGTCTCGAACTCCTGACCTCAAGTGATCTACCTGCCTTGGCCTCCTAAAGTGCTGGGATTACAATTACAGGTGTAAGCCACCATGCCTGGCCCATATGCCTTTTTTTTAAAGGTGAGATTTCTGGAGACTTCTGGTAAAAATCAGTTACACCCAAATAACCATTTTTTTTTAAGAGATGGGGTCTTGTTATGTTACCTAGGCTAGCCTCAAACTCCTAGGCTCAAGCAATCCTCCCACCTCGGCCTCCTGAGTAGCTGTGATTGCAGTTATGAGCCACCATGCCTGGCCATTCTTCATATATTTCTTAATGTAGGGGAAGTCTAAGGAACAAACAGAATTCATTAAAATGTGCTTTTGTTTCCCCAAACAGGAAAAGCACAATGGAGTATGAATGACAGTAAACATTTCCGAATGGATAAAAAAACGAATATTGGCTGGGCGCGGTGGCTCACGCCTGTAATCCCAGCACTTTGGGAGGCCAAGGCTGGCGGATCACTCAAGGTCAAGAATTCAAGACCAGCCAAGCTAATGGGGAGAAACCTTTTCTCTACTAAAAATACACGCATGGTGGCGCATGACTATAATCGCAGCTACTTGGGAAGCTGAGGCATAAGAATCACTTGACCTGGGAGGCGAGGGTTGCAGTGAGCCGAGATCATGTCACTGCACTCCAGCCTGGGTGACAGAGCAAGACTCTGTCTGAAAAAAAAAAAAAAAAAAATGAATATGGAAAGTACCCTGACCATGTATGGTACCCATAGCATCAACATTTAATAAACATTAAAAGTCACAATGCATGTACAGACTGATAATCTAAAAATAATTGCTAGTAGAGACAGAGACAAACAGAACTGTCATTATTACTCGAAGATACCAAAGTAAGGATATAACAAACAGAGTATATCTCACACTCCTGAGACAATAAAGTGTGGCAGAATCACTGAATACTGCTAAAACATAGGAACGTTTCTACAAAAAGCCTGCAAGGTAGATACATTTATTGTGCTGCCATAAACCTGCCCCCTAAATGACTTATTAATACCCACAGCTAATACTTAGAAACTCAGATTCAATAAATTAGCAGTGAATTACAGAGAAAACAATCACATGATATCTGTAGTCCCATTTAAATAAAGCTCCACCATGAAGGAAGCCTGCAAAGGAAGCTGGCAGTGATTCTGAAGCAGCAGCAGCAGCAATCCATAAAGCCTTCTTAATTTTCTCGTCATTTAAGAATTAAACCACTTCCAGTTCACACAGATACTACCAGGTGCACTAAATTGATGTCATTATCAGCCATCAGGAAATACCCACTGAGACCTATACCAACACTGAGAAGTTTTGTTAAACAGCTGTGTGTTTTAATTGATTTGTATTATTTAAAATAGAAACAGTTAAAAGTCAGTTATCGGATGTTGTGTAAAAGAGATGCCTAAAGACTCCAGGGAGACTGAGTTCAGAAGAAAGCCAATCACTGGAACTTCACTTGAGCACTTAAGATTATTACTAGAGGAAGCACAATTAAATCATCAGTTTATCAGCCATCATTATAAATCACCAGGCAACATATCAAGCTTCATTATTTAAGAATCCTTAACCAGTGACTTCCTGCATCACTGAGAGTCAAAAGCAATCTATTCACCAAAAGGTACCTAAGGAGTATGTTTTTTTTGTTGTGTTTTTATTTTTTTTTTACCCTGAGAAATTTATCATGGAAACATAATGAAACCCACTAAAATTAATTGTCATGTTTTTGCATGTTTTAGGCATTCCGAAGTCTTCAAAAGGAACTCAGTGGTATTTGGGATATGCAAAATGTGTGCTGCACAGGCTTCTCCTATTCCACTCTGTACAAACATTTAAACTTACTCTTATATAGTATTAAATACTTGCATGGTAGGACGAAATGAGGAAAATAATCAACGAGTTTCTTCCCACTTTTATCCCTCCAACCCCATTCATTCACTTGTACTTTCCTTTCCCAGACATATGGAATCAGAAAATAAAGAACCTCCAAAGTTTTGGTTTCCAAATTTAAGCACATAGTTCAAGTGTTAGAAAGAATATATTTAAAAGGAGATAAGATACAGATTGAGTTTCATATACAACTCTCTCTCCTCAGAGCTGGGAAGGAAAGCAGGGGCTTAGAGAGAGGCAATTTTGAAAAGCCATTTCCCAAGAGGGGCATGTGTATGTGTACGTGCTCATGTGTGTGCATATACATGCGTACAAAATAACACAACACAATAGAATCTCTTGTGGTTTGGAAATTTGAGAATAGAGAGGATATGGTTCTAGTACACAGTAGGTTTCATGAAGAAAAGTCCCTTCCATCATCATCATTATATTTAGGCAGCTGTAAAACAGGAGGGGCAGCCAGACTTTTCTGAGCATAGAAGGACTGCAGACAGCCACCTGATGTTTCTGCAGCCCTGTTGCGGTAGCAGAAAAGAGTGAGGTGTAGTAGGGCTGACTTATTCATTAGACAGAGTAGGCATGGTGCCTGGGGTCTACAATACCTTTAGGAATCCATGAAAATATTTTAATTGCTTTTTAAAAAATAAAATAATAAACTTGTAGGTCAAAGAAAGTATTTTAATATATAGTATGAATACAGTCATCTCTCTAATAATGCAGCTATAAAATATAATTTTAATACCTTTTTATGGAGAAAGGAGTCCGTTAAGGTAAATGTATCTAAGGCCCACAAAAGTCAGGATGTGGTCCTAGAAAGCAAAGGTTTGATGAGAGAGACAGCGAGGGTGACAGAGATGAGGAGAAAGAGGCAGCACAGACCTGAAACAGAGCCCCTGGGGTAGATATTATCGGTTAGGGTCCAGAAGTTTAGTATAAATTCCAGGGTGGGAAGGGGGGATCCTAAATTTGGCATAGCTTAATCTTCAATGGCTGAGAAAATCACTGAAATAACTATGTTTACCTGGAAAAAATAATAATGATTATGATTACAATAATTACATAATATATTTACTACATATTATGTGCTAGGCAATGTACAACGTATTTTACATATATTGATTCATTTAGTCTTCCCATTCGCTCTGTGTAGATGCTACTGTAACCTCTAATGGAAAATCAAACTAAGACACAGAATCTTTGTAATTTAACCAAGATCATGCAGCTAGTAAGTGGTGGCATACAAAGTCAAATCCACTCTCTCTGGCTCCAACACCTAGATAAAGGCACTACCATTTCCCAAAGGAACCAGTTCTCCTTGGCTGACTCCAACAAGTCTGGGCAGGAATTGCACAACATGCATGTGCAACCACTTGTCATACCACTAAACAAGGAAGCCATCAAAGCCACATGGGTTGTATCAAAATGACTCAGGAGCCAATGTCTTTGGCCAGACTTCCACTGGCTAAAGATGAGGTAAACTGAACATCAATAAAGATAACCACTACTATGAACGGACACATACAAAACATTTATGAGTCCATAAAGACATATTTTTTAAGGTTCTTGGTTACCTTTGGAGGATACTAGAGAACCAACTCATTATCTTGAAAGCTAGCTCACAAAGGGAAAGAATCAAGCATTTATCCTGCCCTTCCTAATCAAAGCATACCTCAGGTAAGTAAGATGGAGAGAGAAACTTTGTCATTATAGAAGTAGTCCAACTAATAAATAATGAATGATAGAATTAGAACATCACCATCTTGCAATCACTAATGAATTAATGGGTCTAGGCAATAATCATCAATGGCTGCTAACATCACAAAAAAGAGGGATAACCAGACATAATGTCCCCCCGACGGCATACCCAGAAGCAACCATGAAGTATTCTTGCCAAAAAATCGAGCCTGAATTTGATCAAGCCTCAAGATCTAACTACCAGTTTATAAAAAAACACAGGGAGGAACATAGTAAACACCACAGAAATACAATTAGAAAAAAAAAATCAAGACTGCAAAACACTACAGAACAAACAACCTGTTTCTTCAACAAAAAATTACCAGGAAAAAAAAAGAGATGGAGGAATGAGAATCTGTAAGATTCCAAAAGTCTTAAGATATGTTAACTATTTTAATGTGTAAACCTTATTTTGGATCCTGATATAAACAAACTATAAAAAAAGAACTTGGGAAATTTAAACATTAATTGCTTATTTAATGATATTAAGAAATTATTAATAATTTTATCTGTGATAATAGAATTGTGGTTATGTTTTTTTTGAGTCCTTACCTTTTTTAATTAACTATTTTGAGATAGTTGTAGATTCATGTTTAGTTGTAAGAAATTATACAAAGAGGTCAGGTGCAGTGATTCATGCCTGTAATCCCATCACTTTGAAAGGCCAAGGCAGGAGGATCACTTGAGGCCAGAAGTTCAAGAGCAGCCTGGGGAACATAGTAAGACCCCCATCTCTACTTTAAACATAAAAATTTAAAAAAATGACACAAAAGGATATCTCATATCCTTTATCCAGTTTCCCCCAATGGTAACATCTTGCAAGACTATAGTACAATATCACAAACAAGATACTGACGCTGATTCAGTGAAGATCCAGAACATTTCCACTGCCATAAGGTTCCCTCACGTTGCCTTTAATAGCCACAGCCATTTCCCTCCCATTCACACTCCCTATCACCTGGCAACCACAGATCTGTTCTTCAGTCCATGATTTTGTCATTTCAAAAATGTTATAGAAATGGAATCAAACACTCTGCAACTTCTGGGATTGCCTTTTTGCACTCAGCATAATTCTTTGAAGATTCATCCGGGTTGCTGAGTATATCAATAATTGGTCCCTTTTTATTGCTAAGTAGTATTCCATGGTAATGGTATGCTACTCTCTGTTTAACCATCTACCCACTGAAGACACCTGGGTTTTTTTCCATTTTGAGCTATTATAAATAAAACTGATACGAACATTCATGTAGAACTCTTATCTTTTAAAAATATTTACTTAAATATGTAGGGATGAAATAAAATGATGCTAGGAATTGCTTCAAAAAAGTTCCTAACTGTATGAGATATGGAAAAAACCAAACTCTTCATCAGCTAATAAGCACATTACACAATTATCTCTACTTTTGTATGTGTTTAAAATTTTCCATAATATAAAGTTCAAAAAAAGAATCCACTAAGAAAAAATTACTTATCTGACCACTATACACCCTGCACATAAACACACATATCTTAAAGTGAAATTGAAGGTACCCATTTTTATTTTGTGACTTTAGGCCATGCCAAGATCACAGGAATCCCTTTCTTAAAACATAGAGCCAACACCTTCCAGTGATCATTATTGTAACACTCACTATAACAATTAAGGCAGATCCAACCTAAGTACCTGTTAACTTTCTTTCAGAAGTTTTTTTATTAGGCTACAGGGTTGATATAATAGGTAGTCTGTAATGTTGGGCAAAAGCAGGTAAGTAATCACCATAATCAAATGTATGAAATTTATGAGTGGCTTATCTTCAAAAGAGGGGGTTTACATCTGACATGAATAGGTCCTTATCATCAAGACAAATGCTGAAAGAACAGAAGTGTGATTACTAAAGATGAAGAGCAACAAACTATATGAGCACAATCAGGCCTGAAAATGAAGTGAAATGCATTTTATATTATGCAAAGGCTGCATTTGTTTTTAAGCCACTCTGGAGGACAGCATATTATTATCATGTTCAGTCCGCAAGCTAATGATTCTTTAGTATAATTCTGCAAAACGGTGTCTACTATTCAACACCACCAATATTCTATCAGCCCATTCTTCCCTAGTGCTGTATCATCTTCTCCCCCTCCATCTCACTGAGGACACCTTGTTTTCTTTTGTATGTGGTACTAAAAAATGAAGACCCATTCTCCCAAAGATCTCAAGCAAAGAAGAGGATATAAATACCAACCCATTAACCAATCTGGGATTAAAAGCCAAGATCTCCAAAGGAAATATTCATGATGATTTTCAAATGCCAAGTAGTGCAATGGCTGCAAATGAGTTTCCCCTACTTGGTCTGTAATGCCTCGACACGCACTGTGATGAGCAATTTTAAAGCTTAAATAAACATTGTTATTAGAAGTAGGATATCTGTTCACAGATCAAATCCCAATAAGATCAATTCCAAAGGACCACCTAAGTTTTATAGTTGTGTTGTAGTGTGGTTATATCAAATATCCCTCCTATTAAGTGAGCCCCAGCCTTAGTGTTAGAAATAGTAATGCTTGTTGTGATAGGATTTGATCTGTAATACCGTACTACGATAGGGAGGAAAAAGATGGTACACTAATAGGCTGTGTGACAGTGAAATAACTATAAAATGAAAGACATTCGTCAATTCTATTAAAAATAATCTATATACAGATTGGTTCAGTGGTGAGTTTAACAATGTAAGAGTTCTATCAATAAAAAGAAATCTATGTCAACATTGTATCAAAATCTTGTTCTTATGTCATGGGTCAGAACAAAGACACGTGGAATTAAAATATAAAATATCACAGACCACTAGAAATTGTGCTATATACAGGCCTGCATTAAGGAGATTAATTATCTGCTAGAGGCAGAAAAGGAAAATGGTAAGAACTGGATTCAAGAGTATAATGGAATTGAGAAAGAGTTGATAAATGGGTGTAAAGTTAAATACACATATATTTTTGAATATATTTTTCCTCTATCTTTTGCCATCTTTCTTGACTCTTACAACCAAACATTTTCTGGGTCTTGTGGATAAGGACTCTACAATACAAATTTTTGTACAGTTTGTGGCCACTGACAAGACACTAGAAGCTGGAACTCTTAGCACTCATCTTGACATACTTAAAGGTTAATCCAAAATAGTTTGTATAAAATAAAATGTTCTTGCCAAATCTTTAGGGTTGGTTTTCTCATATTTCACATTATCCTTCTTCACAGCACCACCAATGCCTGGTCTACAGATTTGGATTTCAGAGGGGCAATTTTTGTGAGTTGAAGTGGTTTCAGAGAAGGGAATGTATGAGAGGACAGGTAGTAACAGGTAATGCATACAGAAAAATGAGGGAAGGCATTAGATCTAGAAAAGATCACAAGAACAAACTGCACAAGAGGAGTATAGAGAGATGAATAACCATATTTGGCAAGAGCTGTATAGAGCAGAGGAGTAGAAGATAAACCTAGAAGAGCAGGTTGGAACCAGGGAGTGGCAACCTCTGATGCCCAGGCAAAGCATTTAGACCACATCCCATAGGCCCTCGGAGAACTATTGCAGGTTTGAGCACAGGTAAGTAAGCACAGCAGTGGTTAAAAAGATATGACTACAGGTAAGGGGCAGAGAGGAAAGGAGCAGAAAACCACAGGTAAGAGGCTTTACTAATTGTTCCACGTGAGGTCAGAGGGCTTGATCTAGGAGGGTGACAGTGGGAAGAGAAAAGATTAATTTGAGGGGCAGTGTGAAAGATACAAATACCTAAAGCTAGTTTTGTCCTCAATTAAAACCTAGAAAATGGTCATTGTTAAAGAACCACTTACAAGATGCTAAGGATTCTTATGTTGATTGGGAGGTAAACTGTCATTATGATCAAACACATAAGAGGGCATAAAAATTCTAATAACTGATAAACTCATTTTTAAAGGAAGCTTTCATTAGCTGAACAGAAGCTTGGAAAAAATAATATTTTTGATATAAGTAAAAATTATTTTTAAGGAGATGATGATTGGTTGCAAGGTGATGAGTAGTTTTAAATTTCCAAAATAACTACTGATTTTAGCAAGGCAGTAATGACTTACATGATTGACAGATCTATTTCCTTTACTTTTGCAAATCTACTTTTTATATCTACTTTTGCAGATCTATTTTCTCTACTTTTGCAAATCACTATTGCAACCATATTATTAATCAAAAGCTCTTCTTTTTTGCAAATGTATTTATGAGTAAAACTGTAAAACAGTATAGATTACATAAGCCAAATCATCTATTTCTTAATATATAAGCCAACTTAGTTTCTATTTTCATTTGCTTAATACATTTTTATTGAGCACATACTACATGATAAGTACTGTTTTGGTGCTGCATGTACAATGAAGAATAAAAGAGACATGGTCTGCCTATATGAGAGCTCACAGTACAGACAGTCCCAGACTTAGGATGGTCCAGCTTAACAATTTTTAGACTTTATCATGGTGCAAAAGTGATACATCTTCAAGAGAAACCATATTTTGATACCTATACAACCATTCTGTTTTTCACTTTCAGTCAAGTATTCAATAAATTGCATGAAGCTATTCAATATTTTATTATAAAATAGGCTTTGTGTTAGATGATTTTGTCCAACTGTAGGCTAATGTAAGTGTCCCGAGCACATTTAAGGTAGGTTAGGCTAAGCTTTCATGTTTAGTAGATTAGGTGTATGAAATGCATTTTCTACTTCAGATATTTTCAACTTACGATGGGTTTATCAGGATGTATTCCCATTGTAAGTCAAGGAGTATCTGTATAGTGGAGAAGACAGACATCAATTTTTTTAAATCATCCTAATATGTAATTTAAAATTGGAATAAGCATTCTAAAGGATAATTATAGGGCACTCTGAGAGCTTATAATAGGGTGGCTAAACCAAGACTGGGTCTGGGAAGGTTTTTTTTTAAGGAAACTGTCTTTGAGGTGAAATATGTAAAGATATAGACAAGTGAAATAGGGAAAAGAGTTGGAGAGGGAACTAGCAGAAAAGATGAGCAGCGGGAAAGAATACAATAACATGCATACAATAAAATGACAATACTCTCCAACCTGTTGCGTAATAGTGTCCCATGGTCCCTGTAGCAGTCGCATCTTATAGCACTCATGAACTCCTTCCCATATGTCCTTCAGAGTTAAAGGTCTCCCATCTGTGAAAGTGCATGGTAAAGACTGAGTTAGTAATTCATGTGACACAATGGTGCTTGGTGTCAATCTAAAACTCCTGGAAGAATATCATGACTTTTAGAAAGATCTTCAGTGCACATGCTATTTATATATCAAGAGAGTGCTATATGAATTACTATTTTCTTCCTGAGGGAAATTTAAACATTCAAGCTTCTCAGCTTTGTATCCATCTAGCATTTAAATTGTCTGCTCATTCATTGCCTCTAGGAATTTTACAAAATAAATAAAATCCAAATGTGTTTTAGAGAGAACTGACAGATGCAAGCACAGGCAAAGGAACCAACAGACTCCCATATTCATAAAGGTGCACCATGAATACTCTGAATCCTTCATACTTACTCTAGTCCTTAAAACAAAGAAGCCATACCCATGCATCTTTCACATTCTCATGGAGTATCTATAATGTCCAAATCACTCCATCAGGTACCATGGAGAATAGAGAGAAGAAAAACACGCAATTTCTCCTAACAAGGAGCCTAACATCTACTGAGGAAACTATGACAAGTATATTACAGTAGAGTGGTCTCTGCCTGAAGAAGACTGAAGCTCACTGATGGTCCAAGGAAGAGAGATATTAACACTTGGTGTCTATGGCAGGTGGAGAAAGGGACTCTTGGGGTGGGGAAGGACAAGAGAACGGGGTTGGCATGAAGAGGGCAGTAAAAGCTTTATTGAACAATAATGCTCTTTTTCTTTAAGTTGTTTCAATTATCCCTCTGTATCCACCCAAACAATGTATTTTACAAAGACCACTATGGCACTTACATTATACACAAGGTAAGTAAAGTGGAAAAATAGGTATCTAAGTTCTGAAAAGAAAGCAGAAAGAAGAAGTCACCTAAAGATTTCAAACCATACACTACTGGAAAGAAGGTGTCTTAATGCTAGAATCCAATATAACTTGATCCATTCAGAGCTATAAGGCCCTCAAGACTTATGGGCGTGCTCTTTTGGGCTAATGGATGATATCACTTAAAGATATTTCACATAGCAATATACTGAATATTTAGACCAAAGAAGTATTTGGTCATCAAGGGCAACAAAGCATAAGGAAAATAATCTACTCAAGAGCTCCAAAAATCACTGTATTAAGACTTTCAAGTATAAGTAGAAATGTATGATGTTGGGGGAAAAAGCACTAGATTTGGAATCTGGACTAAGTTTTAAATCCTGGTGTTGGCACTTACTCTCCATGTGAGTGCAAATTATTTTGCTTTTAACTTTACCTGCAAAATGAGAATAATGATCCTTTCTGGGTATTGTTCTTTTGAGGCTTACATTAGTGAATGCACCCAGGACTGTGTTAGGCACACAATAAGAGCTCAATAAATATCAGGAATCTCCTCCCAGCCCTCACACAATTATTCCAGTAATTCTCAAACCTAAAAGATTCATTTCTAGACTGTTATTTCTTAGAATTTTCCCATGTTGCTATACCGTGCATATCATCTTTGATATAGTACCATACTAATATTATAAGCAGGGCATTTCTCATGTTTGACCTAAAAAGTTGAACTTTTCCTCAACCTTTATTTTCAATAAATAGCAATAGAATATTTTGATACATTTTCAATAAGTATCTTCATCTTGGCATTTATCTAGCGGCAGGAGACCATTATCTTGTGATAAATAGTTTTATTCCATTGACATTTCCATGTCTGTAAAATGAACAAGATTTATTCATCCAATTAACATTTGAATGTCATGTTTAGCTACAAGTTAAAAACAAGCTGCCTTCAGTATCTGTGTTATATTGTTTTCTGAACACATTTACAGAGTAGGGCCAAACTCTGCTCTTAAGCACTATGCATCTTTGAAATATGCAAATGCCATGCATGCATATGTGTATGTGTGTGCGTGTGTCTGTGTGCGCATGCGTGTGTGTGTGTATTGGTGTGGGAAGAGGCAAATAAGATCTTAAGAACTTTAGTGTCAAATAGTAAACTAATCAAATTACAGAACGACATGCTTTTAAAATAATTTTTACACGTCAAAGTTAGAAGTAAACAAATACCTGTAGTAGGATAATAAAATGTTAGAGCTAGTATAACCACTAATTTTATAAATAGGGCAGCCAAGGTCTTACGAAATATGTATCTGCCAAAAGTATGCAGCCGGTTCATGACTGAACTGAAGTCTGAATCCAGATCTCAGGACTCACCAATGCTCTTCCTGCTGGTCCACGCTGCCTCTGAGGGCAGAGGCACTGCAAATGCTTTACAAATATTTACTGAGCAAATGATAAATGATGAAAAAATGCCTTCCTTAACTTTATTTCTATTACCATAAAGCTTTTCAGACCTAGAGAAGAATGCTGGGTTTCATATCTGGTAATCAGTAATGATTTTAATTTTATTCCTTAAAGTATTTCAGGCAACAATGTAAGTATGGAGTAAATGGTTTGGATAGAAGTTAATTTTAGAAGTAGATGTTTTATATAATTGGGCACCTACTATATGCCAGGCATCTGTTCCAAGCCTTTGTGATACATCAGTGAGCAAAACAATCATCCTTGTTTTCATGGAGGTTACATTATGCCTTGGGGTGTGTGTGTGTGTGTGTGTGCGTGTGTGTGTGTGAAAATAAACAATAAACACAATAAACAAGTAAACTGTATATTATCTTAGGAGGTGATACATACTATGGTGAAAACGAAAAGTAAAGCAGGCTAAGAAGTGCCAGCCAGAGGTGGGTTTGCAATTTTAGACTTTAGTGAGAAAGTAACTTGTGTGCAAACACTGGGAGGCACAGCGTTCCAGGGAGAGGTGCCAACCAGTGGAAAGACCACCAGGGCTGGGTAGGGGATCACTAGCACTACATGCATATCACTAACATTCGTCACTTAAAGCCAATGACTAAAAAAAAACACACATAACTTTATCAAGATATAATTCACGTACATACAATTCACCCATGTGAAGTGTACAATTCAGTTATATTCGTAGAGTTGTGCAATCATCACCTCAATCAATTTTAGAACATTTTCATCACCTTAAACAACAACAACAGCTGGGCACAGTGGCTCACGCCTGTAATCTCAGCACTTTGGGAGACCCAGGTGGGAGGATTATTTGAAGCCAGGAGTTTGAGACCAGCCTGGGCAACAAAGTGAGACTCCATCTTTACAAAAATGTGGCTATATAGGGAAGGGCAGAGACAAGAGGCCAGGAAAGTATTTACCTCAGTGGAGTCCTTTAGCTGCAATCCCAATGAGGCCTGGCAAAGCTTTATTTCTTTTTCTTCAGAATAAGCACTATTTTCTTCTCACCCCAACTTTCTAAACCAACTTGCTTGCTTTTGATTGTTGTAACCAGAGCTTTGTTTGAAAAGTAGACTCTTCAAATGAGGAAACCAATGGAAAAATTGGTAATATAACAGTGCAAGTCTGTTATACATCCACAATGATGCAACTGGTTGAGATGGCTTAGACAGTCGTGACCTCCATGAATACCCTCTCCAAACCATGGTCTCCAACTTCCAAAATCTAACCCCCTTAAAAAAACTGAGGAAGGTCAACAAGCAATTATAATACCATTGTTAAAATATCTGCTTCTTCTAGGCCCATAACGGCTATCTCAAGGGCCACTGCAGTCTCTTTAGCACCTATTGAAGTTCTGTGTTTGGCACCCCCTGCTGGTGGCATGCTAGGCCTGGTGGGACTACATGTTTTTAAAACAAGCATATCAGGTCTTAAATATTCAAAAGACCACTGTTCCTCAAAACAGTCACCTAGGGAGGTTACCTGATTATTCAGCAAATTCAACCAATATTTATTCCAACAATGCTGTAATTCTGTCAATGGAACTGCCTTTGAACTTTTGAACTGCCTTCAGAGCCAGACAAGTAACTAATTACTTACTAGTCCCAAATAGGTTTAAATCAAAGGAAAAAAAATTATACTTATTTTATTCCATATATTTGCTTCCAAATGATTTTGTTGTCGCCAAACAAATTCACCTTTAATAAGTAACCATCTTCCAACTTCTAGCCACAAGGACTGGAAGAAGTTTCAAAACCAGCAGTTCCCAAAATATGTTGAGTAATCAGAGTATGGTTGGCAAAAGTATATAATTTTGCTTTTCCTCTGTGTCTCTGCAAATCTCTCCAGTTTCTGCTGACCACTTACACTGTAAAAGGTCTGGGTAAATATAGCTTTGTCTCTATGACAACAATGACTTAATGAGGTATGATGTGGTTTCTGTTCCCTAAGCCTTCGTCACTGGTTTGCCTAGTCACAGTTCACACCTTCATCATCAAAGACACACAAAAGTTAGTTTTTGAGATCTTTCATACAAAAACAAAAGATCTAACTTAATCAGCAATATCTTCAAAATCGTGGCATACATTATTAATATCTAAAATGCATTCAAATATGATCGTGACTAATTATTTCAAAAGCAAAATGGATACTTGAGAAATCCCACTGAAACAAACTGGGATATTTATATATGTATAAAGAACTGCATCATATAAACAAAGTAGAAACCTGAAGAATGTTGTACATATCCACTTATTTATGAAAACTGAAGACTCAAAACTTAAAACACGGACATAAATACTTGGTTAAGTACATAAAACACATTATTATGTGCCTGCATGTTCAATTCAAAGTATCTTCAATGAGAAACTTTAAACCATGTTAAGAGAGTCTATTTTTTTACATCTGGCCTCAGTCAGAGGAGACATAAGCATACTCAATCAACAACTCCTTCGTTTCAGATCCAAGATACTCAATCGCACCAATTTTAACATGCTTAGAAATTTCATTAGTCACATTGAGGCTGTGTAGCTCAGTAAAATCTCTTGAATACTTGAAAAAGAAGTAGAAGCCAAAATAATTTCAGTAGTAACCTACATAGTGAGCATGGTAAATTGAGGTCATTTATATAACAAGTGTTTATTGAGTGCCTACTATGTGCCTGTATCACTTGGAATGATAATACACATTTAAGCTAATGGAATGTTCTGTCAGTAATCTAAAGTGTCAATGACAAAAGAAGAAGAGACATTAGGTGAAAAATAGAATAATTAAAAAGTACAATCTTTAGCAACTGCCAGTAGCATTTAATTTGACATTTTCATATAAAATCTCTCAATTGAATAATAACCCACATGTCAAGTAATCTATATATTACTCAAAATGTGCAGCTTTCTAAATTAAATTTCTCAGGGCTATTAGTTTTCATGAGCCAATAACAGCATGAGATATTTCACCAGCACTATCTAACTCTAGTGCAAGCACGCTGGAGTCACCTTTATCCTTATTGTGCACGGTTTCACTAACATTTTTTAACTCCTAAAATGAAGACTAGAGAGAGTACAAATAATTCAGAGTAAGTTTAAGAATAATGTTCTGAATGTGGCCATTAGAAATAAAAAGGAAAGAGTAGATTTTTCACAACAAAAAATGTCATTATTCAATATATTGTCTTCAACATAGCTTTGAAAGATATAAAAATTCATGTCATACTCCACAGTAAGGCAGAGATGAAGCTCCACCAAAGGGGAAAATTCATTTTTGCTTCAGTGAGAAAATTATATTGTGATATGAAATGAGTGCAATTGTTCACGTACATTCATTTCAGCTACTATACTGGCTAATTCTGTAACTTTTATTTATTCCTATAAGCATTTTAGGACTTTGTATCTTTATTGGGCTCAAGAAATCTAAATGAAATTCCAAAAATATGAACTATGGCAACTTTCTTTTGCTTGCATATAACATCAATTAATTAATTTAACCTATATGGTTCTTAAATTTCAGTTATTTGAATGAAAGTGTCATGTAGTGAAAAATGGGCTATAGAGTTTAAGTCCCAACTCTACAGTTTTCTATGTACCCTTGAATAAATAATTTAACCCCTCTGAGCAGTTTTTGTCTTCACATGAGGGTAATAATAGTTACTACCTTCTAATTTTATTGTGAAGATCTAGATATATAATTTGGCTAGCATGATTGAAAGGCACTAAGTGTCAAGCACCATTTCCAATATAAGCTCAGGATCCTCGAAACTCTGAAATCAGTATTATTGCTAACTCAATTTTTTTTTCAGATGATGAAAGAAAAGAAATGGCAAAGTTCAATAACTTGCCCAAGGTCATAAGGTTAGTAAGCAGCAGAGCTAGGAATCAGAACTAAAGTTTTCTGACTCTAGACCATGCGCTTTTCACCACTACATTATATGTGTTTCTGTGCACAGGAGTTCTTTGTAAAGTGTAAAGTTATACATGCATATTAGTTGTATTGTTCTTGTTGCTACTATTACTAGTGGTCCCCATCAACACTGCCTAACCTATGAGTATCTGGAATTTTCCCTTTCATGATTTTCTTCCCAAGCCTGGCTCACCCTTTCCCCTATCACTCATGGACAAATCCCATGTCCAGCCAAGGCCTCTCTTGATCACCACAGCTCAAGGTAGTCATAGCTCTCCAAGCCCTGGTGCCTTTTACCTCTCTTATGGTCCTTAACATATTCTACTTGTTATAGTGAATTTCAGACCTATCTTGTGTTTCCCTCACTAGACTGTAAGCTCCTTGATGGTATTATCCATCTCTGATTTCCTTTATTTATCTCAGCATTTCAGAAACATATCCATGCCTTATGTATAAATATTTTCAAATGAATGAACAGATGAAAGTTCAACATTATTTCTAGAGTAATTAGCACATTCTAAGAATAATGGCTGAATGATCATAATAAAATTAATTGATTAAATGTTTTACATTTATATTTTTAAAAACCCTCATACTCACATAAATCCATAGCATTAAGCAGATGCAGCTATAGCAGATATGTGATTTCTCAGTATCCAAACACACTTCCAATTTGGGAGATAAATTCCAAAATAAGTAGGAGGCAGAGCCCCATTTCTACCACCAAAGCTAAAGGGAGGCAGATATTCCCTTGCCTTGTCATTCTACCACCTTCAGTTGACTCTACGATCTACCCTTCAATAAGCCTTTTCCTGCTTATCAAATTATTTGCAACCAGGGGTACACATCTAATATAGCACAAATAGATGGTTTAAAAGTCTTGCTTAATAAATATTTTCAAAATTATCAGCTTAAAATGTTATATATTTGTCTAGCAGTCTTGAATAGAAAAAATAGATGTTAACATGGTTTTTAATTACATGAGAAAGTTTATGTGTGTTACAATCTATTTTTATGAACATATGCCCAATAGCACATAAAGGAGCAATTATGAATCATCTTAAACTGTCCACACACAGTGTTAAGAAACATGGAATAACGCAAGTGATGTTATACCCTTCCATTTAAATTAAGTGAATCACTTAACCTAGTAAAGGACATATAAGACCATTTTGATGAACCTCTGAATCAGAAAATGGTCCCAAGGGAAGCAACATTGGGTCCACAAGATACCTGAGACATCAGCCCTGTGATACCACTATTGATCCAGAAATCTGAGAACCATACTACCAGCTGGATATCTACAGCCTAAGGTCTGCTGGTTCTAAAGCAGAAGACACTCTGTTTTCTTTTTTTTTTCCCTGAGACAGAGTCTCGCTCTGTCACTGCAGTGGCGTGATCTCGGCTCACTGCAAGCTCCGCCTCCAGGGTTCAAGCGATTTTCCACCCCACCCTCCCAAGTAGCTGGGAGTACAGGCGCTTGCTACCATGCCTAGCTATTTTTTTTTGTATTTTAGTAGAGATGGGGTTTCACCATGTTGGCCAGGCTGGTCTCGAACTCTTGACCTCAGGTGATCTGCCAGCCTCGGCCTCCCAAAGTGCTGGGATTACAGGTGTGAGCCACCGCGCCCTGCCAACACTCTATTTTCAATCCTATCCAAAGTATTCTGAGGTTTTGATCCCAAACTCTTGAGATTAATACTCAGTAATTTGTATTCCTGGCTTTCCTCAAACATTATCCCCACATCATGGACCTATTACTACTATATTACTCTATACCAGCACTTTGAATACCCTTACTTCCACCATCCAACCTGGTCTCCTTCTCATGGAATGCAGTCTCTGCCTTCTCAAAACAGCACCTAACATATAGACTCGAATACTGCTTTGATGACTTTGAAGGAGCAGAAAAACAATACATGAGTTACAAGTTAGGCAGTGATTTGTTTCAGCATATTTTAAAAAGAGGCTAATGAGATTTGTGTTGTGCACACAGTAGGCACTCATGTATATTTTAATAGGTATTTCAAACAGGGCTCATTGTGCCAATAGTAAGCAAAGAGATGTTTTTTCCATATGGCACAAACATTCACCTAAGAAAGCTAAAATACAGTCGCTTACAGGTTAATAAAATTAATGTACTTACCTTGTTATTTTCTCTCCCAAGCCTCTGGGTCCAACTAAAATCTCTTGCCTTTTGTATATGTGGCTAAGCAATATTCTGCTTAGAATAAACCTTTTGGCTAACTAGCTATCTCTGTAGTTTTACTTCCCATTTCTTTAGCACCTTTCCTTTAGTACATTTTCAAAACAGGGCTTGATTTTTCAATGAGATTCTATTGCTATCATATGTTCTAACCCAGCATGTGACTTCTATCCTAATTCCCCAAAATATTTCAAACATTTACATGGCTCAACAAATAATTCTCACTAGATTTCCTCTGTTATTTGGACTTTTCAGTTTGAATATATTTGTATTAGTTAGATAACTTTTCATTATTCTTAAAAATAACTTTCACTGTTTGCTCTTCAAATTCATTTCAATCCCTAGAATCTCTTTTTAATTCACCAAAATTCATGTTATGGTTCATTATCATGACCTTGGCTAGATTTACTGTCTACATAAACATATGTGTAACATAAATATAAATACACAAACTTTCTTAAAGATTCTTTACAATTAAGACTCTAAATTAAATTATCTGTCAAATAATTTTCTATTTTCTGCTCACTGTAGTAATTAACTAGAGTCGTTTTTGCCCCAGTCTTAAAATACTTCTCTAATCCACTATTTTTCTTCCTATTCAACAAGCTGCCTTAACCATAACTCTTACCGTACTTGCAATAATACATCTTTCCCCGAAAATATGTTCTTTCCAACTCATTTTCTTCATTTTCTCTAAGAGGTTATTGTTTTTAAATTGTTATAAAATTAATAACAACAACAATGAAAAAGCCAAATCCTTTTTTTTTTTTTTCCAAATTTCACTCTCACCCTTCAATTCCTTTTCTTTCTGTTTTACTCAGGCACAATTTCTAGGACATCCTTCCTCTGGTCTCATTCACTTCTGCTCAAACTCTTTCACTTTTTCTTTATATCTTCCAACCCCTTCCTAACCATTATCTCTTCCATAATTTGACCTCAACATATCTTTTCAACTATTTCTTCCGTAAGTCATCCTAAGTTAGCCCCTACTCCAAACTGGTCCTTCACTGTTCTCCAAATATGGTGGGCTCTCTCCAGCCCTCCAGCCCCCATAGCTTGGCACTCACTCTCCTCCCCTTCTACAGTGCTTTTCCTAACCTCTTCAAGAAACCCAACCTGTGGCTGTCCTCTACAAGTTGTTGGACAGAGCTATGGATATTCTACTTTTATTCTTCGGCTTCCTCCAACCCCCATCTTTCCTGTTTTGCTGTCATTCTCCTCTATGCACTCCAAAGATGTCCTCTTATTGCAAACCACAGACAATCCTTTTCCTGCTTGATGATTTATATGCTGCTTTAATTCCAAACTTTCCATTATTCTTTCTTTATCATGGCGTTTATCTTAGTTTGATTCATGCTGCCTTTGAGAAGGAACTATTCTTTGATTATTTCTTTTGCCCTGTTTCTCCATGAGCATCCTTCAGGCCTACAACAAGTGGACAAATCTTTCACATGAAATATTTAGGCTACATTTTTAATTCTATACCCTTTTTTCCTGGGCCAATAATAGAATGGTCTCCATAAAGGACAGCCATTCCTTTGCTGAATGGAGGAAAAGATTCCTCCTCTATTCAAATGCAGCCCTGCTGACTAATTAAAGAAATATGTCAAAACAGCTCCCAAGAAGAACCCATATGTCATCCAAAGAATTAAATGTTTTGAAAATAAGAAGAACCACTTGGTCCATTTTTCAATAGAGACTGAGAACAAATGAAAAGAAAGAGATGAATCAGAATTCAAGATGAAATAAATATAGAAATCTCTAGCTAAATGTAAGGAGAAAATATTTAAGCCTAGGCCTCTGGTAAGGCAAAAGGCCATTATGTATGTGCCTAAGGGTTTTACCACCTTTGTAACATTTGCCACTAGCTTTTGATCAAAGCTGAGCCCTCAAAAGGGAAAATGAGACATAAAAAGGTCAGGGAATAAGAATGGTAGGGAATGGATAGAAGGCTTTGGCATGATACAAAAAATTCTTTAATATGGTATGCTTCAAAAACAGTGGGAAAAAAAGAAAAAAAAAACAGCATGCACTTGAAGATGTCAATGCTTTGTGGGAGTGGATTTACTAAACTATAAGGCACTATTCCAATGTAGGCTATTTATTATTACTCAACAGACGTGCAATTATGTCTCACCCTCTCCTGAGTGACAAAGGGTATTAACTGTGTCCCACCACCTCTCCCAAACCTACAATGACAAAAGTAGTTAGAGAAAAACAGAACATTGGGATGGAAGGGCTTATTTCTTCTCTTAAATCCACGTTGCCCACTTGGTAACTGAGCTCCTGTACACCAAAGTAGTAGAAATGAGAGGCAGAAGCAGAATGCTGTCTCAACTTGGCTGTCTGCCTTCAAGAATTAAATAAAAATACGTGTTTATAGAAGTGGAACAGCTGCTTCAGCTAGTTTGGATACCCACTTTTGAGTCCTCAGGATGTTCTATTTTTCTAAGTCCACTACTCCTATAGTCTCTGAAAAGTATCAGACTAAAGAGTAAAGATACATAGATGGTTTGGGTCTTAGGTCTCCTGGAGACAACAGAATTACTTCCTCTTTCAAAACCTGGCATAGCAGTTGAAGTAGGCACCATCACAATGTTTCCATTCTTGGGCTGTATTTTTTAAATGACTAGAAATTCTTCTTTATCGTTTCACTTAACAAATACTTGATGCTGTGCCACAGCTGAATAAGCCATATATATACATACATATATCTTATACATGTATACACACAAAGCCATAAATAAAGCTTCTCACTTTGTAGGCACTCAGTATCAATTTCCTTCACTCTTGTTTTTATCTTGAAGCTCTATGTTCCAGCATATCATTTTATAGATATAAACAAATATTTCTGCTATAGTACAAATTGTGATATAATAGAATATATGATATGATATGACATGACATGACATGGGAGCGACAAGAATAGATGGCATGTTAACTGAGTCTTGGGCTACTAGTAATTGGCCTGGTGGAAACTGGACCATATAAAGAAAAGGAATTCAAAGTCTAAGGGATTTGCATTTCGAGAACCAGAGTAAAGATTTCTTCTGAAATCTAAACAAGTTGATACAAGAAAGGGTAATGTAAATTTAAATGGAAACTATTTATTACTTGTTTTGCTTTTCCTTAAAAAAATAGGTACAGGGAGAAAATTTAGAGCAAAGCAGAGAAATTAATTTGTACTAACAATCAAATGCAAAAGAAATTATAAATATCTGTCAAAAACAAGGCTAAGTGAACTATTTTTGAAGCAACAACAACAAAAAAAGACCCCTGGGCAAGAAATTTTACAGTCATCCTCTTTCTAGGTCGGAACTCTCTTAGAATGAGACAAAGAAAAATCCGGGCCTGGAATAAGAGGAAGACATTAGGAATCCTTTCACCACACTGACAGAGATTTGTTTAACAAACAGATGAAGGGCCAGAGTAATCAGATATCACAGGAAAAAGTAAGGAGAATAAAAAAGACTGGGGGGGGAATAAATGAAAAATTGTGACTCCAGAGTAAAGGTTGATACATTTTAAAAATATCCATGAGGTTAAGTTAGGTGGAAAGAAAAAATAAATTATTAGAATATGATAAAGGAAAGAAAGAACCATTCTTCATGTTTCTCCACCAGAAAACATTCAGTATGCTGCACAAAAATTAAATTTGATATTTTAATGTACCTGAACAAGCACTAAATGAATTCTGGGCCAAAATAAAATTTTAAATTCCTAATACCCACTCTACACAACACAAAGCAGTGGTGGTGGGGGGCGAATGCTTCTACATAAAAACAAATGACTTGTTTTGGTTTACCTTTATAAGGCATAAATGGAGGGCATTGTAAAAGTATACAAATAGAAGCCAAGAATGTTAATTGTGTTTTTTTAAAAGAATAGAAAATCGTGAAGAAAGGATCACAGAAACTACACCAATGTCATTAAAATATAATTGGACTTGCAGGAACAATTACTGTGCTGTACTGTAAGGGGAGCTGTTGGCACATAAGAGCAAAGCACACATATGAGCTCATCAGCAGGCCTTGGCAAGACCCACTTCCAGCTAGAAGCAGTCATGTTTCAACACCTCTGATTCCCTAATGCTGACAAGCTAAACAACTTGTTTTGTCTCTGGGAGCTCTTCTCTGGTGATTAACTGCTTATGGTGAATACTAATTATATGAAAGTACAGTATTGAAGAAGTAATGTCTTATTTCCTCTACCTGCAGCCTCGACTTGTCTCTGAATCTAGAAGGCAGAGCCATTGCAAACCAGAACCAAGAAAGACATTTTCCTCCCCCTGAATAAACAAATATATCTCCTACTTTTTAGTATAGCACAGCTCACTGACAAGAAACTTCCTTTAACCTCTGGGCTCCAAACCAAATATAATTACCATAAAATGAGTGTTTTAAAGGCTTGTAATAATTATATGGATAAATCCACAGCAAGAGTTTGTGAATTAGTGAACTATCAGTGTCCTCCATTCCCCATGTCCCATGTTGAAAATTTACCCCAAATTGTCAGTTCTTAGGAACTGCACCTCAGATTAAAATCTTCTCACCAGGGAGTCTATGAGAATTTCTTCTTGTGTTTTAAATCCTAAGTGCTTGTTAAACTGCCAACACTGCAAAATTAGAGACCATTAAACAATATAACAGCAAGTGATTAAATCTACCAAACATACATTCAAGCAGCTTAAGCTACTTTTGAATTAAAAATAAAATATCATTGGCTAAATTCAGATGTCTTAGCTATCCAGAAAAAAGTCAGAAGGCTGTTCAAAATGCACAATGCTGCTGATAAGGCCAGATACAAAAGGAGAAATAGGGCAAGGGGTTGGCTGAACAGGAGGCTCATCTTGGTCCCTGGGCCTGGGTGGCAGCACATCCCAATGCTGACCCGGTTTAGGCAGTGGACTCTAAGCGGGAAGCCATGGCTGTGCTGCAGAGTGAGGACGCCATGTGGCTGCTGATTAAATAAGCTTTATTAGCTAAGGCCTCCAAGGAGACAGGGTATTCCACCTTCTTGGCAGGGGAATGAGTTGAGTAACAGCATCACAGGAAGCTAAGGCATTGGAGATGTATAGATGGCTGAAGGAAATGTTAGTGCTATTTTTAAATACAGCTTAAGCTAATTGATAAACATTTCTTAAAATAATTATTAGCTTTTGGGGAAGGAGGCACAGGAGCTTCTGAGTTAATTGGATCATCTGAGATTAAAATAAATTTTTACTGTAAAGTTAGAAGTAAATAAACATTGTAGCTTTAAGTTGTTCCTACTTGTTTAAAGTAAAGAAAAGAAAAAGGGCCAGGGGGCTTAGTCAACTTCAGGCAAAAGGCCAAGAATCTGAAGATCAGACTTAAGGCTGAGATGATATCATTCACGCTGAAGTCTTGATACCCTTTCTGAAGCATGAGAAAATTTAGTGGTAAAACCTTACCTCACCCACAGTTTTCTCATTTTTAACTCTATTTTTTTTCCTCTGGAGAATAATTTTCCAAATATGCTTTTTGCTTTATATGTAAATGTTATAAATTTACTTTTAGCTTCAGACATGTTCTTACCTAAAAAGCTTGCCCTAAAGTAAAGTACAGGCACTTGGTAGCTACAGGAATATAAGACATGATACTCATATTTAATCACTTCGGACGCTGCTGCAGTTTCAATCACTTCACAATCATCCAAGGGTAGCTCGAAAGCCTCCTAAAAAAAAGCAAAAACAAAACGAAAACGGGTTTCTTAATAAGAAAAGTACTAACATGGAGAGGAAAAGAGGAGATTTTCTTCTCACAAAATAACAGTTAAATAAATATAAGGCTATGAGGCAAGGAAAAGGGAGTTTCCCATATTAATGTTTAACATTTGAGTCCTGGGTAAATAGTAAAACCAGAAAACATTAGCATTAAGTAATTCCAGATTGTTTTTGAGACACAAAGAGGCTCTGGATAAAGAAAAAGGAAAAAAAAATCTGAAAAGATCTATTGCCTGAAAAATCTTTACTGTACAATTTTAGCAACAAGATGATGGCTATATAAGCTACCTTCTTCCCTACCTGTGAAAGCTAAAAACATCCTAACAATTGAACAAGAGGCTGTGAAATGTCCCTAAAGATTCTATTGTACTTGCCAAAAGATGATTCATTGTGTGCTGAACAATTCCCAGTTCCATTTTGAATAAGAAAGTTATTTTGCAAGAGGTTGAATTTGTTAGGTATATTTCAAAACCTGAGATGATTCTGTTTTCTTCATTATTGTGCTATCTTTGGTATATTTCTACAATAAATCTTGATTTATAATAGAGTAGATGGCAAATATTAATGTCAACTTGAACAGAGTTTTGTAAGCAGAGATGATGATAGTCATCTCACTTCTCACCTGATCATTTTTTACTGGTTGATTTTTGTGTGTGGGGCTTTTAAAAGAATGTACCTTACTGTTTAGAAGCAATTAATTGGACATGTTGAGTCAGACCCTGGTTCCATCCACTTTCACTTATTTATTGGGGTTGAAGAATTTCCTTTGAAATTAAATTAGTACTAGAAGGAATGAAGCAGGTTGGTTTAGCTCATTTCTACCTCTCATTAAAACAGTAACAACAATGAACAATCAGAAATAACTAAGGAAAGATTTCATACTTTATCAATATGAAATAAGGTTTCCTGTGGAGATAAGCAAAGCCCCAGACTACTTTCAAGATCTGTATCTCCTTTACAGATAATTCTGTAATTCCCTACTCACAGTCAGTTCACTGGGGAGATATTACAATGGATAAATCACAACTGGAGATGTTTACAAAATATTTTTCACTAAACTCCAGTAAACACCATCAATTAAACATAATAAAATAAACAGAAAGAAATCATGGAAATAAATATGCCAGATACAGAAAATTAATACAGTAGCAAGAAAAAGATTTTTCTATTTTGTTTTCTTTTTAAATTTTCACTAGGCATAGGTATCTGTACCTTCTATTACATCAATTCTTTTAACCAAATTCTTTCTTTTTGGTCAATAATTGGGTTGCTTAGCATTTATAATTTCCTTTCTTTCTTAATATTATAAAATAATTCTATCTTGGTGGTAAAAATTACAAATATTGCACAAGTACATAAAAGAAAAAATGAAATTCCCCTCATCTCAGCACTCCTATACCTCAGGTTTGTAACCATCGTTAACAGGCCAGAGTGTATTTTTTTTAGACTTTTTGATTTTTGGCACACAAATACATATACACACATAGACACACACACACCTCCTCCCCACCCCCGCCCCTGCTTAAATCCTGCTATACATACATATGCTCCTAGAGTGGATATTTTCACTCGTGGGCATCCTGCCACGTGCTGCCAAGTCACTGCTATAGATTTAGTGCCTTTTAATGCCTTCTCTATATTTCACTGCATGACCACACCATAGTTGCTGTTGTGTTTTTTTTTAACATTTCCATATTGCCAGATATTTTAGGTTGATTATAGTTTTCTGCTACTTACAAATAAGGCTGCAATGAATATCACAGCACATATACCCTTGCATACCTCTATTTTTTCTATGGTGCAGATTCCTAAGGGTGGAATCACTGTATCAAAGGATATGAGCATTTTAAATTTCAAGAGATGCTGAATCTCAAAAATTCCATCCTCAGAAAAAGGCTGTATCAATTTATATTCCCAGCAAAAATGTCTGAGAATGCTCTTTTCCTATATCCAATAAATACTGAATATTGTTTTTAATTTTTGCCTGTTGATGAATTTTTAAGTATCAATTTCTTATCGTTTTAATTCCTAGTTTCTTGGTTACTTACTAGTGAAGGTGAGCAGCTTTACCAATATGTTTATTGGTAATTTGTATTCTCCCATGATTTGCTTGTTTTTATTCTTTACCTATTTTCTGAATATTTGCATTTTTCTTATTGAATTATATAAACTCTTTGTACATCGGAAATAATAACTATTAGAGATAAATATATATGTCTGCACCATAGAAAAATAGGTGTGCAAGGATATGTGTGAAATATATACATATATACACACATATATAAAAAACACTTTCTGTTTTCTTTCAACCATTTGTTGTACTTTTTTATCACAAAGGATTTTCTTTTTTTACTTTTATGTAGTCAAATCTGTACATTTTCTGTTTATAGCTTCTAAGTTACATGTCTTCATCAGAAGGCTTCCTGCTGTACCCCACCTCAGTCTTACAAATTATAAAGATGTTAAATTTCTTTACTATATACACGTTTTAAAATTAAAATTTAGATCATTAATCCAACTGATTTTTGTTTTGTATATAGTGTGAGGTAAGAAATTTTCCTAGATGATTTCAATAGTTCATCTTTCTTCCATTGACTTTAAATGTCACCATACCTCTGTGTGTGTGTGTGTGTGTGTGTGTGTGTGTGTGTGTTTATTCTCTAATCTTCTCTATTGAGCTATTTCTCTTCTTAGGCCATCACTGTGCAATTCTTAAGTGCATACTTAATCGAAGGATTTGGGTCATTAATTTCTATAGAAAAGTGCAGAAATAGACTGCCTGAGACCCAGTGCTGCTAGTTAAGATACAAGTTTTAGAAAAAATATCCTTCACCCAAACTCGAATTAAGCACTCAGGAATGTGCTGGGGTTGACACCAGGTATGTGAAACTGGTGATCAATTAGGCATAGATCCATATTCTCTGGAACAGGTAGGAGGCTCAAGAAATAAGAGGGAGGGGACAGAACAAGCTTCTTGAAAATCCTGTTAGAAGTCTCACTCCAGTCACTGTTCTCACTGGCAGCTGAGTGCCTTTGTGGGTTGTGAAAGCCAGGGGTATTTGTCCTCTAATTAGGACTGCTACTATGTCACCCAGTGTTGCTCTGGGCAGTCATCTACATGCAGTGACATTTCTGCATGCTTTACTCATATTAGATGAATTTGAATCCTTGGTTTGTGTCTGCTAGCATCTTTCCATCATTTGTGGTCACCTTTATGATGCCCATTAAAATATCATTCCTTGAAGTCATGCAATTTGGAAATCTCAGACTTCTACACATATTCTGCTTCTCTTTCCAGTTAAAAGTGCCAGATGGTTTTAGAACTTCAAGACTAAGGTTCTTGTCTTACTCATTTTTGTATTCCTGGAGATTCTAGTACAGAGCTGAGAACCCTAGTAAGCAATATTTTCTATTTCAGTCTGAAGATCTGTTTCCTCCTATGTAAGTATGTTATAACAAACTTCATAGGTAATTTACCAGCAATCTCACACCATCCTAACAACTAAAAAGAAGTAAATGGAGGAGTAAAGATGCAAAATATCACCAAAGAGGATATACCAATGGCAAATAAGCACATAAAGAAGATATTCAATATCCTTAGCCATCAGGGAAATATAAATTAAAACTATACTGAGATATCACTAAACATCTGTCAGAATGGCTAAAATAAACAAAATAGTGGACACCACCAAATGTTGGTGAAGATACAGAGAAACTAGATCATACATTGCTGGTTGGAATATAAAACAGTGTATAGCCTCTCTGGAAAACCATATGACAGTTTCTCATAGAAGTAAACATATAATTACCACACAACCGACCAACTGCACTCGAGGATTTATCCCAGAGCATTGAAAAACCTGTGCATGAATGTTCATAGCAGCTTTATTCAGAATAGCCAAAAAATTGAAACAATGAGGTGTCCTTCAACAGGTCATGGTTAAACAGACTGTGGTACATCCATACCATACTATTTAGGAATAAAAAGGAACAAACAATTGAGATACACAACAACCTGGATGAATCTCCAGGGAATTATGCTAAGTGATAAAAGTCAATCTCCAAAAGTTATATACCGTATGATTCCACTTATATAACATTTTTGAAGTGACAACACTTTTGAAGTCAAAAACCGCAGATTAGTGTTGGGGGACTGGAGGGCAGAGAGCTAGTTATAAAACGGCAACATGAGATATCTTTGTGGTGATGGAACTATTCTGTATCTTGACCATGGTGGTGGATATGTAAGCCTACACATGTGATAAAACTGTACAGAACCAAATACACACACACAGACACACACAATGAGTACAAGTAAAACTGGGGAAATCTGAATAAGGTCAGTGGATTATATCAATGTCAACATCCTGGTTCTGATATTATACTATAGTTTTAGAAGAAGTTACTACTGGGGGATATTGGGTAAAGGGTAGATGGGATTGTTATTTCTTATTACTAAATGTGAACCTATGGTTATCTCAAAAAATTTCAATAAAAAAATGGAAAGCACAGAAACAGTGAGGCAATTTGAGGCTTGTTAAAAACTAAATAAAATTTTTAAGACCTCATGGTGCTAATAATACAGATGACAGAGGGATCATGTTAATAAAGAGAGTCTAATGTCTGGGATTTGTTTGAAAATAATACAGGAGAGGGGTAAGTGGATGGAAGTATAGAAGGAGCATGACTGGCATGGAGTGGTGATGGCTGAGATTGTTAGATGGGTCCCTGGGTGTTCATTATACTGTTCTATCTACTTTAAGGAGTATTTTAAAGTATTTAAAATAAAAAATTAAGATAAAAAAGTTTCTGATACCATGTTACAGAACACAGAATGAAGAGAATTCTAATAGTGAAAGAAACCTGAATCACTCCACCTAGTCCAACATGCTCATCTTGCAGATACAAACAACAATACACTTCCTGTTGGTGCCTTACCCAATGCCACCTAGCTCCCACTTATCCAGAGTTTCACTTTCTACAGTTTCCAATTACCCATGATCAACCATGGTCTGAAAATATTAAGTGAAAAATCCAGAAATAAAAAACTAATAAATTTTAAATTGTGCGCCATTCAGAGTAGTGTGATGAAATCTCCTGCCATCCCACCTTCCTGGGATGTGAATCATCCTTTGTCCAGAGTATCCATGCTGTAGACACTACCAGCTCATTAGTCACTTAGTAGCAATCTGGGTCTTCAGATCTACTGTTGTGGTATCACAGTGCTTATGTTCAAGTAACCCCTATTTTATGTAATAACAGCCCCAAGGCACAAGGGTAGTGATACTGGAAATTTGGATATGCCAAAAAGAAACTGTTAATCTCTTACTGTGCTCATTATAAATTAGACTTTGTCACAGCTATGTATAGGAAAAAACATAGTATATATAGGGCTCAGTATTATCTATGGTTTCAGGCATCCACTGAAATATCTCCCACACCAATAAAGCGGGACTATATAGTTAGGGGTACAGGAAGGCCTACAACCCTTATCTACTGACACTGAAACCACTGCTCTTTGTACTGTAGTATACCACTTAACTGTTACTATGCTTTATTTGGACTGATGTTCTGAACATCATAATCGTAACACTTTGAGTTAGTTAATATTTTTATTATTTTTCTTTTATTATGTGACTTTTAAAGGATTTGGGTATACAGTGAGCCCTAGGTATACACGGGGGATTGGCTCCAGAACCCCCCCACCCTGAGGATACCAAAATTCACAGACGTTCAAGTTTCTTATATAAAATGGTAGAGTATTTGCATATAATCTACACATATCCTCCCATACTTTAAATCATCTCTATATTACTTATCATACTTAATACAATGTAAATGCTATGTAAACAGCTATACTATATTGCTCAGTGAATAATGGCAGGAAAAAAGGTCTATACATGCTCAGTTCAGATGCAACCACTATAGTCCTAACTACAGTTTTGATCCTGGTTGTCTAAATCCATGGATACGGAACCCACAGAGATGGGGGGCGGGGGGGCAGCTGTATTTCATTTGATATTAAGAGTAATTGAAAAAAGAAGTCACAATATATTGATTTTTCTCAAAATGTTGCTATTTCATGAAGATATGTGTATTTAGAAAATTACATTCATTCAAGAGCTAAAAGATTAAATGGTTCACATTAATTATAGAAACCTTGATTTTATTGAATTCAATTAACAATAAGTTGACAGTGATCTCTCATTTAAAAAATCTGATACGAATTAAGCTTTACAACTAAATCCCATTAAATAGGGATCATGCTGAAGACACTTCACAGCTATTTTATTGAAAGCAAACCCAAATAGTGTATTGGGCCTTGGAAATGAGATCCATATCTCTATTTAGCCTACAGAGAAGGAAGAAAAACTTTTCTTCTATCACTAATAATCTGTATTACTATTACTGAGCAAACGTAAGTAATGAGCTTTATTCATAACATCCCTTGAGGAAAAGATAGTTGATTTGTTTGTTTTCTACCAGTCAGGTCTTTAGTTCAAACCTAACATCACTGGTTCAAAGACAGTCCACAGTCCTTAGCTGTACTGAAGACTGGACACAGAAACCATCTCATCACAATGGAAAGATGCGATGTAATATACTCTTCATTTGCTGATTTTCCTGAGCCAACAGCCATTTAATATTTTCAGAAGTGATAACGACTGATGAAGCCTTCTGATAAACCACTGAAAAATCAATTCCTCAAGAAATAAAGAATTTTAATATTAAAAAGTTTAAAGTGAATTATAAAAATAATCTGTGGGACCTTAAGTAATCAGCTCTTGTTTTGTTTGTTTCAAGGCTCATTATCATACAGTGGAGTGGTCTTTTCACTATCTTAATTCCCAGAATGACTTTTTCCACAATCCCTGTGGCTTCTGAGTAAGTGACTGTCACAAGAACCTTTGCAAGCAACGTAATTCTTTTAGCAACTGTAAATGTTGTATATGGTACATATCAGCGGGTTCAACATATGTCTAACAGCATCCAAGGCAACACTGAAACAAAAAAGGGTGGTTATAAGATGATCCCAAGGATAATATCTTAGTGAGGCTCTCCCCTTCCCAGTAATATTATCACTACTACTACTGATTTTTTTTTAAAAGGGGGTAAAAAGGTGCCATTCTTTACTCTCCCTGCTACATCAACCAAAGTGAATTAGCAACAGCATGGCCAACGTGGGTTCCCACTGAGAGGAAGAATCTGTTTCCTGTGCAGGATTAAAACCTCTTCTCCAGGCAGGCATGCTCAAGGGCGAGGCAGGAGGGAGGGGATGCAGAAACCCGCCACAGCACATCTGGCAGTTTTCTGGATGTTTACAGCTGGCTCCACTGTGCTTCCTAGACCCTGTTTCTTTTAAGACTGCATAGGAAACAGCAAGACAGCTAGTGCCTGGAGCTGGGAAGCCAGCAAACACGCCAAGTAAAAGGTGGAACTGTGGAAGAGGCTATCTCTTAGAGTCCATGCTACAAAACACAGGTTCTTTGGCAGGAGGAAATAGTAATAATGCTTAATCGCACTTATCACTTATTTCTATACATCTAAAAGTAAAAGAATTAGCAGAATAATGGATTTGAAAATCAGAAATTCTTTATGTAAAACATGACAAACTAGAGGAAGAGGGGAAAATTTTGACCTCTTGAAAAATTATCAAGCTTCAGAAGTCGGTCAAGTGTGTTTCTCTTCAGTGTTACCCTTTACATGTGACATAAGAAAGGCCAGCATCAACTCTAACAGTTTACAGTTTTTCTAAGCCTATTGATGTACATCATGTAATTTGTTCCTCTGCTCTAGGAGGAAGGCCCAAGGTCTCCAGCAAGTAAGAAACTGAGCCAGGGCACAAAACTAAGCCTTCAGGCTCCAAGTCCAGGGTTCTTTCTAGCCTGCAAAGACCATCAGATTCTTGGTGGTGAGAAATGTTAAACAGACGTATTCCTGGCCTCCACCCCCAAAATTCTAATCCAGGAGTTCTGGGATGGGTTTTAAGACTTCACCTTATAAGCAGTGTTCCTGGTGATGCTATGCAGGTCTTGCCTCACATACACATGGAGGGTCTACTTTGTGATTCTTTACTTTTGTAGTCTATGGAATTATAAAGTCAGGAAACTCATTCACCAAGACCCAGAATTATGCCATAAACCGGTTTGCCTTCACTAGCTGCTCATCTATGTTTTGAGAACCACCGTTACTTCATTTGGTCTCCTCTCGGAGGGAGCCTAAATGCACTTCCATTAACCTAAGACCTCAGCTTATCACCCCCCACTCCCAGTTTATTGCCCCATTCCTTCATCTTCTCCTATATAAAAATTTCCTTCATTTTGTCCTTTTCCTTCTAATTGGTTAGTTAATTCTTGCTAAACTATTAATGGCCATTAGTGGCTTAATATGTTACTCCTTTATCAATTATTATATTCAACAGTAGATTTGTGGCTGATAACCCTAATCAAAAGGAATCTTTAATAATGGAATTTGGAGTGCCAAAAAGGAATAAATTTTGCACCACACATGTAACCACCAATCTGTGAAACTTGCCTTATAAGGCAGTCTATGTTTTAACTCCAGAGCCAGAAAATTCTTCCTTGTTACCTTGCTAGAAAGTAAATCAGTTTCCACTAGATTTATCCTTGCAGAAGATTAAGAACAAAGAGTCATTATTTTTATATAATATGAATAAATTTATTTGTTCCCCATATTGAATAAGCCCAGTTTCTCTAATTTTTCTTATATCTCTAGTTCCACAGATCTCCAAACATTTTTCTAAAGGGCCAAGTAGTAAATATTTTAGGCTTCTGTGTGGGCCATAGGTCTCTGCAGCTGCAGCCTGAAAGCAGCCACTGGCAACATGTAAACAAAGGTACGTGGCTGTACTCCAGTGACATTTTATTTACAAAAACAAGCTGTAGTCCATAGACCTTAGTTTGCCTACCCCTGAAAATCCTAATTTTAAGGCCTTCTTTAATTTCATTTTATTATATTTTTACAAGCACTAAACAGAATTTTATTAAAGGACTTGTATCTCCATTTGGTGAACTCTTTCCCCTTTCCATTTTTTTCCTGTCTTAGGATGTTACATTACATTTCCAAGGGTCTAAGAAATTCTGAGCCTTAAAAGGACAATGATAATTAAATCCAATGGGCTGAAGTTTGGCTAAAGTCATTTTCTAAAGTAAGAGATAGCACTACCCTAATTTAAACAAGTGAGATTTTTAAATGTCTTGATGAATAAACTGCAAGTTCCTTCAGCACATGAATAAACTTCTACACTCAAATTCAGAACTGAGTAAATTTCTCTGCCAAAGAGTGAAAATGATAAAGCCTTCATAAACAGACCAAGAGGCAAGCATTGTAGGAATGTTAGAGGACTGTGAATCCTAAAGCACAGGCCCTCTCACACATGCACAAGAAACAGCATGTCTAGGAATCAGCAAGGAACTGTTTCAGTAAGCCATGAGTTCCTTCCCTTGCTCAAAACTGTCTCTGGATTATATGGATATGAATAAGGATTTATTTGTTTCTTTGCTTGGTTTTTACCAGGAGAATCCCTTTAAGATTTCCACAAGTATCTATGACGTGCCAGGCACTATGCTTGTGCTGGGACAAAGATGTGGTTGTTGCTTTTAAATAATACTATAATATTTCAGCAGTAATGAGAGCAACATTAAGCTCTCAGCTTTCTATTGGGATTCAAGGAGACACTCAAAATCTCGGATAAAAACACATAGACTTCAGAGAAGCATAATATAGGCAAAAATAAAAAAGCACAGAATTTGGAGCTAGATGTGGGTTCAATCCCTGGCTCTGCCACTCATGGAATGGACAGGTCATTTGACCCCTCTATGCCTCAGTTTCTTCACTTGTTAAATAAAGGCATCTTTCCCTTGTGATTAAATGAGATAATGTATAAAATGTGTATATCTGGCACATAGGTATACTAATTAATCATACATTCATTCAAAAAATGTTATAGGATACACTAAATATTCTAGATCAAAGGTGTCCAAACATTTTCTTAAAGAGCCAGATAGTAAATATTTCAGGCTTTGGGCATCATAAGTCTCTGTCAAAACCACTCAACTTTGCCACTGCAGCATGAAAACAGCCTAGATAATATGTAAATTAATGAGTGTGGGTTTGTTCCAATAGTGCATCATTAATGAACACTAAAATTTAAATTTCATATTATTTTAATGTCATAGAATATTATTCTTTTTAAATTCTTTTTTTAACCATATAAAAATATAAAAACCATTCTTAGCTTGTGAGCTGTACAGAAATACACAGCAGGCTAGGTGCTGTGGCTCATGTCTGCAATCCCAGCGCTTTGGGAGGCTGAGGCAGGAGGATTGCTTGAGCCCAGGAGTTCAAGGTTGCACACTGCACTCCAGCCTGGGTAACAGAGTGACACCCTGTCTCTAAAGAGAAAAAAAAAAAAAAAATAGGCAGCAGGCCACAGTTGCCATCGTCTGCTCTAGACACTGTCCTGGGGCCTGGGAATAGAAGAGATAACAATAATAGATATTATGTCCTAATATAAGGAAATACATTAAAAAATAATCACACAAAGAGCTATAAAATTATAATTACAACAAATACTATTAGAGAAAATGCACAGAGTCCCCAAGTACATAAAATTTTACCTCCAAATCTATGAATTTTGTTTGTGAGATTTTAATTTTTCTTTTTCAGCTTCATTCAAGTGTAAACCAGTTTTATGTAGCACTGATCATTTTAGTATCCTAATCACCCTTAACCAAGGCTTATTTTAGTTCAATGATCACAACACCCACCCAGATAGATTTTCAGGAACTGTTTTTGTCCAAGTTTACCAGATTGCCTAATCACTTAGAATCTGTCACCCCTGTCACCTCTGATTATCCAAGCTTCTTCCCGATAAACTCTTGCTGCAGCCCACTAAAAAGTGTCTGCCTACACTTTCTGTTGCCCCCAGCAATAGTTTCTGCTTGAGAATGCCCCACAAGTTTTTTTCTCAGCTTTACAAATAACTCACTTATACATGTGTGCCCACTTGTATATGCATGGACAGCACACATATACATTCAACTAACTAACGTTCACTGAGCATCTACTATGAGCTAGGCATGGTGCCAGCACTGGAGATTTGTTGGCAAACAGATATGGTGTTTGCTCTCAAGGAACTTATAACTACAGAGAGCGTGGGAGAAAAAAACATTGCATAAACAATTATTTGAGTATAATGTTGCAAGTGCTATAAGAATATAAGAATACATCTTGAGGCCTTATCCAGTTGGCAGACTTGGAAAGGCTTCTATTACAGCACACATATCCCTTTGAATGTGAGTGAAGGCAGGGCTTTTGCCTGTCTTATTCACTTACGTATTCCAAGCATCCTGAACTGTACCTGGCAAATAGTAGACATTCAATCAATATTTGTTAAGTGAAATAAATAAGTGGAATGAGTATAAATTGTCTGTTGCCATTTTCATCCTATAAATCAGAGATCTCTAAACTTTTTTTATCATGACACTAGGAGTCAAAAAAGTTAAGCACTCAACCCTAATATGTGTATATTTACCTCTTGATCAATTATGAATATGTATTTCTATATGATATATTTTGTATATTATAAAATACACTAAAATATAAAAATTTTAAGGATAAGACAAAGGTGAAGGAAAAATATTTCAAGGTCATTCTTTTAGTTGGGTGATGATCTGGGTACTAATGAAAGTAGCCCTCCTACCCAGCTCTTTGCTCAGGCACCAAAAGGCCTTGGCTGGCCCTCTACCCTCACCCTTCATTGAGCTTCTTGCCTATTTGGCTCTTAGATTTCTGCGCCAGTGGTTGTGATTGAATAAAGTTGCAGAAATGTTGATTTTAAGGTGCCCATTGAAAAGTTAGCACCTCAAAATGTGACAGATGTAAATAGCAGGCAAATGAGCACACTGTTACCTGGTTTTCCCAGGACTCCACGCTTCAGAGTCAGTGCTGCTGAGCAGCCAGCCAGTCCTGCTCACAGTCGTGGATGATCAGACACCCAAAAATCAAATGTCTAGATCCCATATGCTCAGTAGTCCTGGGGCGGCAGCCTTAATTCAAAGTAGACTCTAAAGAGCCAGAGGTAATTTCCTTTCTCTTCATAAAGAACCCTGTCCTAATCTGCACCAAGTCAAAGAGCCCTGGGTTCCAAATATGTAAATCTATTCAGAAAATAAAATGCTACAGAAAACTAAACTTATTTTATTTAGTAATGGTGCAGACATTTTCTTGCCAGTAGTATTTTGATGAGAGCAATTTGATTGAATATGTAATTTTTTGTTCTTCTTTGTGTGTTTTAAATCTTGACTGTAATATGGCATTTCAAACATCTGGGTTCAGGTCTTTTTACATTGTTTTGATAGGTGATTTTAATGGCTGCAACAGATGAGAAAGATCTACAGATCCATAAAGAGGAAGTATATCACTGGGTGTACTTAGTAAATCATGATCTCATATTTCAATCCCCTTCTCTAGCTGTAAGAGGTTTTATTCAAGTTCTGGATGCCTTTCAATGAGTCGTTAGTCAATGATTGCTTCATACTGTCATTAGGTACAACATACACACAGGTTAAGGGTCATCATTAATAATAGCAAATATAAATCCATATTTCAAATAATCTTAATTTTAAATTTGGAGAGCCAATTTTTGAAAGATCTGATTAGACTGTTGTTTTTACCTTTTACCATTTTTTTTTTTTTTTTGTTCCAGGGATTCTTTGCAGGAAACTTTTAAAGCCCTTAGTCTGAAAAGTAAGAGCTATGTTAACTAAAATTGAATAATATCATCCCAGATATCCAGGGCACAGGTAAACTGCAATGCATAACATGCAATGAAAGGAGTGAAAACATCACTGATAGCTCCTTCCTATCGTCTAGGTCCCAGATGCCTTGCATAATTAACCTCTATGGCATCTGGTTATCTGATAAATGCATAGAGTGGCAATGCCAGCATCAATCCACATTTAAATATTAGTAGTAGCTGGGCACAGTGACTCATGTCTGTAATACCAGCACTTTGGGAGTCTGAGGAGGGAAGATTGCTTAAAGCCAGGAGTTCAAGACCAGCCTAGGCAATATAGCAGGACCTCATCTCTCTTAAAATAAAAATTATATTAAAATTTTCAAAAAGTTAAATATTAGTAGAGCCTAACTTTCACAAAATCAAAGTAAATATAAATTATAGTTGTAATGTTATTTCTCACATCTCAATGGATTGTTTTGCAAGCCCTCTGGGGGCATGCATTCACTTTAAAGACTCTATGCTGGTGACCAAGACCATTATTAAACAAAATTATGAAGGCAAAATTGATCCTTGGCATCTTCCACATCTTGCTTTTCATGGCCTTGCTCTCCTCTTTCAGCACAAAGCTCTTAAATCCAGCCCTCTGATCTGAAATTCACAGGCCACCTGATGAACTTACCAATACTAAATGTTACAATCTGGATATATTAATCCTACTAAGATTCTTTGGCTTTTAGGAAGAGGTTCTCTGAACATGGAAATCTTAATGAGTCACTGATCATGCAGTTTCTGTTACAGAGCCTGCAGTCTGTGGGGCAGTGACAATGGCTTCTCTGGCACCCTTTGGAACACAGCCTGTGGGTAATTGCCTACTGTACTGAGGAAAGGCCAGCCCTGTGGACGACTGTGTGAAGGGGGATATGGATATCACCAGTGCCTCACGATCGCTTTCTCTGAGGTGACAGAAATTATTCCTGGAAGGAGCTATGTTTGACTTCCAAATGCTGGACCCTCATGTCTCCCTGTTCCCAAGCCTGGGCATTGGACTACTTTTTCTATTTGCAATGTTAATGATAAATCAACATTCAACAGAAGTTTCCAAAGAAGAAAATAAAAGAAGCTTAGGCTGGTAATACTGAATTAATGTATTTTCCTGGTTACTTATAATGGCAAAGAATTATTTGCATGGGAAGAAAAATGCTAATTTTATTAAAGTGCTATTAAATGAGACTTTTAGCCTAACTTGCAGCACCCTGAAAAATTATACGTAGTGACTTGATTTGTCAGTTCTAACCTCTTTGGAATCATTAGCCTGCATAGTTGACACACTTGGGAAAGAAAAAAAAAAAAACAACTCCAGAACTGACTTGTTTCCTAAATGAATTGAGAAGTTGTCATTAAGAAACATCTGCTACTTTATTGCATTCATGTAAAAGCATTCTTGTGCCTCTATAGCAGACTACTGAGCAGATGTTTTTAGAGCACTATACCCACAGCAATAGGTGTATCATAAAAAAGATAAGGAGCTACAACATAATTATTTCAGTTCCTCTATACATGAATTTAACTTTTTTTAATGGATTAAAAGTTGTGTCAAGAACCTCAACTTCTAACTCAAGCAATTCACTTGCAAGAAAGTGAACATAAAATCATTTACAGCAATAAATAACAAAAGGTCAGACTCAGCCTTATACCCAACATGACGAAATCTGACAGTACAAGAAAGGCCTTTCCAGAGCAAATCATTCTACCACCTTCCCATAGGACAGACAGAGAATTTGCCATTGGAGATCAATTTATTTGTGCCTTAAAGGTCTTCAAGCCAGGAGAATATGCATTTTCTCTGAGAATAGAAGGAAATACTTTAAATCATTATCAGCTAAAAATTTTTAAATCATAGCCAAGATTTTCAAACTGTCAGTGTAGGCTTACAGCATGACAGGCAGGCACAGGACTCTGGGCAGCAGAGTAGTATTTATAAACAAAACAGTGAAAAAAAACAAACAGTAGTAGTGTGGTTTTAATAAATTGGTAACATGTTCCTCTTACTATAATAAAATGCCCTAACTTTAACATAAATTCTAAAACTTGAAAAAAGTGGTTAATAACCATATGAAAGTCTGCAAAAAGACTGTTCTTTAATTCAAGATCCAAGTTCTGTTTGGGGTCCATGTGTTAGAATGGGCTACTCCGAGAAGCTGACTTTGATGTGAGTGTAAATAATCTATTTGGAAAGCGATTTCAGGAGCACAAGTAAGGGAATAGGGAAGTGAGACAGAAAGAAAATACTGGTATATTAGTAAACAGCTTACCACTGGGGTAGAACTAGATAAAAGTAAATACGGGGTATATTAGTAAACAGCTTACCACTGGGGGCAACCAGGGCTGCCCTGGTTGCCAATATGATAAGCAAGCTTATGAGATAAGGCATTATTATTTTACCCAAACTGAGTCCTAAAGATCTTGGCCACACAATTTGCCTAAGGTCACAATTAGTAAGAGGCAGAACTAGAGTTTAAAGTGTATATAACTTTAAAGCTCGTATATATTTTGGATTTGAGTCATTAGCATAAAAAGAATATCTGGAACAACTAAAGTAGATGAAAATTTCTAATAGGGAAAGAAGATAAGGCCAGAGAAAAATCTTGAGAAATGCCATATTTCAGAGATAGGTGGAAAAGAGGAGCCAGCAATGGGAAGAGCTTGATAGACACAGAAAAAATATAAAAAGATAAAAATGACATGGAAATCACAGAAGGAAAGCTTCCAGCAGACCATGGTCAATATCTTGCATTTTACAGAAAAATGAAGAAAGATAATCTGAAGAGGCAATTTGGATAGATGTTTCAGCTGTCACCAGCTGAAATAAATAAATTTCAAATGCATATTGGAAGAAAATGCAGAATTGTAAAGATTGGTATGAACTTGTGGTGAGGAAGTGTCAGTATTAAGAGTAGATAACCCTAATGAGAAGTTACACAGAAAAACAGAAAAACTACAGGTAGCTTGAGGGGATATAAATGTCAAAGTAAGAGTTTTTAGAAATATATATTCAATCTGGGTTTATCTGTATGTTGAATGGAATGAGTCAGTAGAGAAAAAGAAATGAGGATGCTAAGAGAGATTCAGATTTCATGATGCAATAGGAGATGAAGTAAGTGGTATAAGCATATAAAAAGAAGAGATAATGCTTCTCCTGAGACAGAAGTGCTCTACAGTGACGCAATTCCAGATGATGTTCTAGAACATGATGTTATTGTGCCTGTGGGCAGCTGGAAGAGAATCAGATCACTGGATCAGAGGTCAAAATATTAGGTGAGTTCTCTTGATACAGAGCAGAGTTCACCAAAATTTGTCTCTAAAGGGCCAAATAGTATTTTATTTAGTCTTTCTAGGTATAAGGTCTTTGTCACAACTACTACTCAACTCTGTCATTATAGCATGAAATCACTCACAGAAAAATAGGTGTGGTTTAGTTCCAACAAAACTTTATTAATAAAACAAGCAGGTGGCTGGATTTAACCCAAGGGCTGTAATCTGCTGACCCATGATGTAGAAGACTGAGTGCCTTACAGACCAATCCTGCTACAAATAACAGATATAAATTCTAGGAAGAAAACCTATTTGAGGCTTTGGAGATTTAACAAAAATAGATTTTGAAGAGGAGTCAACACCTGGAGCAAGTGATTTGGTTTTTGCAGTTTTTCCCTGGAGGCAGCTGCAATGGTGGTGGTGTTGGCACAAGGACTGGGGGAGGGCAGGCAGCAAAAACTCTTGCCATCTTTCTGACTGGAGGAAACTGGGGGAAAGAGCCTGGAAAAACCATAGGTGCTAGAGAATGATGCAGATGCCCAAGAAAGAAGACAGCCAGAAGAGGACAACCCCAGATTCTATGTTTAAACTCAGCCCAAGTCTCTGGCTGACTCCTGAACCATGTATGTGTGGGGCAATCTGAAAGCAGCTTAAAACTCAGGTTAAAAGAGCTGAATTGAGTTCTATGCCACTGCCTACTACAGGCAATGACAGTTTGCAATTTGAGTCTAACTAAGCTATTGATTGCAAAAATGAAAACATCAACATTATTTTTTTTTTAATTTAACTTTTATTTTAAGCTCAGGGCCAGGCACAGTGGCTCATGCCTGTAATCTCAGCACTTTGGGAGGCTGAGGCGGATGGATTACTTGATGTCAGGAGTTCAAGACCAGCCTGACCAACATGGTGAAACCTTATCTCTACTAAAAATACAAAAAATTAGCCAGGTGTAGTGGTGAACCCCTGTAGTCCCAGTTACTCGGAAGGCTGAGGCAGGAGAACTGCTTGAACCCAGAAGGCGGAGGTTGCAGTGAGCTGAGATCACGCAACTGCACTCCAGCCTGGGTGACAGAGCAAGACTTCACCTTAAAAAAGAAAAAAGAGAAAAAGTTTAGGAGTACACAGGTAAACTTGTGTCATGGGGCTTTGTTGTACAGATTATTCTGTCACCCAATTATTAAACCTAGTACCACCTAGTTATTTTTCCTGAACATCAATATTCTTCAGAAGAATGTAATGAAATCTACAGCCTTCAGAACATAACAGCCACAATATCCAAAATGTACTCAAGAATTACCCAACATAGAAAGAACAGAGAATTGAACGTGACTCAATCTGTTGAGGTTTATATGTAGATGTTGATATTTCCAACGTCTAGGTTATCTAGATGTTGAAAATGTCAAATAAAAACTTCAAAACAGCTATTATAAGTATGCTCACTGAGGAAAAAATATATTCATATTGATTTTAAAAAACAGGACATTTCAAGAGAGAAATAGGAAGTACAAAAAAATGGAAATTTTATACCTGAAAAATACAAATATCTGTGATAAAAATTCAACAGATCTGATTAATAACAAACTGGAGATGACTGAGGAAAGAATAAACTACAGGATAGATGAAATGAAGTCGTCCAATCTGAAGATAAGAAAAAAAAAAAACAAAAGAAAATGAACAAAGTATTTGGGACATGTGGGACAATTTCAGAACATCAGACATATAGACAACTGGAGTCCTAGAAGAACAGTTTAGAGAATAAGGCAGAAAAATAATATTTAAAGAAATAGTGAGAGAAAACTCCTCAAACTTGACAAAAAAATAAATTTACTGACTCAAGAAGTTTAGACAACCACTCTAAAAATATGAATAAATCAACACCTATACACATCATAATCAAACTAATGAAAACCACAACTAAAGAGAAAATATTGAAATTAGCCAGAGAAAAACAATATATTAAATATAGGGGAACATCAATTAGAATTTCCATGGATTTCTCACCAGAAAAACAATGAAGGCCAAAAAGCCATAGAAAAATATCTTTAAAAAATTCTATATCTGGTAAAAATATTCTTCAAGAATCTAAGTGAAATAAAGAAATTTTCTACAAAAGGAACACTAAGGCAATTCATTACCACCAGGCCTGTACTATAGAAACAAGGAAGTTCTCCAAGCTGAAGAGAAATAATAGCACAGGGAAATTCAGGTCTGAATTTAGGCATAAGTTAAGAAGACTGGAAACAGTAAATATTAAAGACTATAATGTTTGGCCAGGCGCGGTGGCTCACGCCTGTAATCCCAACACTTTGGGAGGCCAAGGTGGGAGGATCACCTGACGTCAGGAGTTTGAGACCAGCCTGGCCAACATGGTGAAACCCCATCTCTACCAAAAATACAAAAATTAGCCGGACATGGTGGTGCATGCCTGTAATCCCAGCTACTCAGGAGGCTGAGCCACAAGAACCACTTGAATCCAGGAGGCAGAGGTTGCAGTGAGCCGAGATCAGGCCACTGCACTCCAGCTTGGGCAACAGAGGAAGACTCTGTCTCAAAAAAAAAAAAAAGACTATAATGTTATCTTAAATTTTAAAAAATGCATGTGACAGTTTTAAGCAAAAGTTATAACACTGTTATAAAAATTATAACAATGTGCATGTACATCTGTACACACTGAGGTTCATAATGTGTATACATATAATACATATGACAACTATTATATAAAGGATGGTGAAGAATATGACTAATGAAGTAATATAACTGCAGAGTTTCTACATTTCATATAAAGTATATAAGATTAACTCTGAGTAAAAAATTAAGGATGTATATCTTAATTACCAAATTAATCATTCATAAAATAATGTAAAGAAGTGTATCTAAAAAGTCAAAAGGCAAATTAAAGTGAGATTCTAAAAAATAATCCAAAAGAAGACAGGAAAGAGGAAACAGGAATAACAGCAAATATAAAAAAAGCAAGGTAACAGAAAAAGTTAATAAAATGATAGACTTAAATCAATCATATTAATTATTACATAAATGCCAATGCACTAAACATTTTAATTAAAAGGCAGAGATTATCAGAATGAATTTTTAAAAAACAAAGCAGTTTTTGCCTACAAGAGAAAACTAAGTATGAAGAAGAAGGCAGATCATGTAAACAATAACCATAAGAATGTTGGAGTAGATATAATATCAGATAAAACAGACTAAGATTAAGAGTATTACTGAAGATAAACAGGGATACTTCATAATGATAAAAGAGGCAATTTTTTCAAATAGTCATCAGTCATAAATGTGTATGTGCCTGACAGAGACTAAAATTATATGAAGCAAAAATTGACAGAACTAAAAGAAGAAATAGACAAGTCCACAATCATAGTAAGAGATTTTAGTACCCTAATCTCAGCAATTTATAGAAAAGCTAAAAAAAATTTTAGTCAAAACAAAGAGGACTTATGACCTAATTAACATTTATAAAATAGTACCCTCCAAAACTGTAGAATATTAATTCTTTTCAAGTACACACAGTACATTAACCATGATAGACCATATGCTTGACAATAAAAGACATCTTAAATAAATTTAAAAGAACTGAAATCACACAAACTATCTCTGACCAAAATAAATTAAATTAGAAATAAGTGACCATAAGATATTTAGAAAAACCCTAAATATTTTAAAATAAAACAATATACTTCTAAATAACCCATGGGTCAAATTTAAAAATCATAAAGTGAATTATAAAATATTAAAAATTTTATAATAAAAATGCAATAAAATAAAATGAATGGAATGCAGCTAAATCAGTGCTTAGAGGAAAAATTATAGCTACAATCCTTTTATTGAATAACAAAAGAGGTCTTAAATCAGTTACTTAACTTTCAACCTTAAAAAGAGCAAAGTAAACCCAGGGCAAATAAAAGAAAGGAAATAACAAAGATAAGCACAAAATCAACAAAATAGAAAACAGACAAATCAGAGAAAAAAAATAAGAAAACCAAAACTGATTCTTTGAAAAGATTAATTGAACTGATGAACCTCTAGCAAAACTGATCAAGAAAAGTAGAGAGGACAAAAATCATCAAAACCAGAAATGAAAAAAGGATTATCATTAAAAATGCTATAAACACTAAAAGGATAATAAGAAAACATTATAAATAATGTACACCAAAAATTTAACAATTAAGATGAAATGGATAAATTCTATGAAAGAACAAATACCAAAGCTCATGAAAGGAATAATAGATACTCTAAATAGCTCTATATCTTTAAAGAAGTTGGCTGTAGTTTAAAACCTTCTCACAAAGGAAGCTTCAGGCCCAGATGGCTTCACTGGTAAAGCTCTACAAAATATTTAAGGAAAAAATACCAATTCTATACAAAATCTTTCCAAAATAGAAGAGGTATAAACACTTCTCTACTCATTTTATAGGACAAAATTACCTTGATAACAAGCCAGACAAAGAAAGTACAAGAAAAGAAAACTGTAAGTCAATATCCCGTCTCCCACCAAAATATGTTAAGAACCAATCCTGTGTTGGCAGAAAAAACTAGAGGGGAAGACAGTGATAACAAACTCTTTTCTACATTTTGAGCCTCTTGTCTCCAATCTGTCTTTGACTCCCAGCATATAAGAAATGTATTATAATGCCTCTCATCTTTACAGTCTGCACGAACACAAACATTATTCATCCAAGACCCTGTTTTCCCCCACTAGCTACTGTCATAAATCTATCCTTTTGTTCACAAACATTTAGAGTGACCTCCATTCAGTCTGGACTTCCTCACCCCTTGTTCACTGCACAGAGCAATCTGGCTGCCATCCTCAGCCCACAGACACTGTTCTCACTTTGGTAATCTCCCAGTTAGAACACCTTCCACACTCTCGTGTCTCCAACATCCTCCCATGACTCTAACGACCGTTCTGTGCTGGGCTTATTCACCCACACGGCTCTGGCAACTAGGTCTATACTGAGTTTCACTCATCCTCACATCTCTGACTTTCTGTAATGATGGTCTCACTTACTCACAAGGAAGGCCCTGATAAAAACTTTGGCATAGATGTTCTAACTTGTTCTAGTAGCTCTAATGACTGTATCTGTGAAGGTGGCCTCGCTTGTTCCCACAGCACTGGCTCCACCTCCGTGCTTTTGTTCTCACTCCTCATTCACTTCTATGACTCTAACAACCACTCCATTGCTGATAGTCTTATTCACCCCTTTGGCCTGACTATTACCTCTCTGCCAAAAGATCTGACAATTTAAATTTTAGCCCAGACCTCTTTCTTGAATAGAAGACAAAAACTAAAGTCATTATCTCATCAAGCAAAACAAAACTACTTGTCCTCCTCAATTCCCTATTTTAGCAACGGCATGTACATAATACCCAGATGTCCAAAAGTCATCCCAAATTTATTCATTTCCCCTTCTACTCCATATTTATCACCAAATTAAATGATTCTACCTCCTAAGTATTGCTGTGATCTCTTCCCAATTTCCATAATCTTTGCCACTCCCCTAGTTAAGCCCTTATTATCTCTTGGCTGGAATATTAAAATGGTGTCCTTACTGATGTCCTAATTCACATTTCAACCACCTCCCACGCACCCTCCACACTGCCGCCACAGTATCTTTCTAGCACATGACAATGCAGTTACACAGGTCAATATTCGATCTCACTTCCAAGATGGCATCTGAGGCTCTTTGCTTGTAGGAGCCATCCTGCCCATATGTGCACCCTTATCTTCCACCTGTCCCCTCTTAGCATCCTTTGTTGTCATTCTGCTCATACTTGTAGTTCTCCTGCTGTCTCATGACTGTTGTGCCTTTACATACGTGCCATCCCAGCCAAGAAGAGCTCCCATCAAATTCCCACCTAGAAAATGCCTACTCATCCTTCTTGTTCAACTCAAACCCTGCCTCCACTAGAAAACCTTTCAAATACTTTTTAGGAAACTTGGACACTGCTTCTCCCACACAAACATCGTACTAGTACATATCTTACTGAGAGGAATTATTTTATTGTATTTTCATTATTTATATATGAGTCTGTCCACTAGCCTGTTGGCTTGAGGAAACAAGCTGTCTGTAGTGTTTATAACACCACACCTGGCACCTGGCATATAGATGCTCAATAGACATGAAGCAATTCAGAGGCTTATCCCCATATTCATTTTCTCACTGCTTCATCTGTGTCTAAGCTCTATATAATCCAGAATATGCACTGTAACGCTACATTCACTGGTAGAAGGAGAATTATTTTGTAAGTCAAGGCATTAAAATGAAAATAACTTTGCATTTTATAAAATTTAAGCTTCTTAAAAATAGGCTAACGTGACAGGGCAAAAAAGTAGAACCAGTGCTATATACATGTTGAGAAGATGATATGAGGGAGGCTATCCCACGGGCAACTGGAATTTTTTTTTTTTCAAACAGCCTTATGGGTATGGGTGTGTGTGTGTATGTGTGTATGTGTGTGTAACTGCAACCCCTAGTTAGAATTTTGGATTATAAAAATAAGTAAGAATGAGCCTTAAGACAAAAAGGAGACTACACTGAGCAAAGGAACAAAATTCCTAAATCCTACGTATAAATTTTATATACTCATTATTATTTTCCTTTTTTTTTTATCTAAAGTAAGCTATATTTGTTGGCATCTCTGGGCATTTTGCCCAGTTTAGCTTATTTTTTTCATCTCTTCAGTCTTTTCTGGGTATATTATGACTGATACTTTTAAATGATAATTTAGCATTACTTCTTCATTTTTATACCCTCTCCAAACTAGGATTATGACTGAGACCAAAAGAGGGTGGTAGGCAGGAAACACATTTTCTGCACATTCCACAGATATTTTAAGTAAAGGACACATCAAAGATAAACCCCAAAAAGTAATTTTCTTAATTAGCTTAATAAGTAATGATTGTGATTGAATCAAGTGTATCAGTTCAAGAAATCCTTTAAAACATGATAGGCTTCAATAACAAAAAAAATTCAAGTAACAAGTTATTAATTACTATATCCTACTCGACTTTCTTTTTTTTTTTTTAATTTATTTTTTTATTGATAATTCTTGGGTGTTTCTCACAGAGGGGTATTTGGCAGGGTCATGGGACAATAGTGGAGGGAAGGTCAGCAGATAAACAAGTGAACAAAGGTCTCTGGTTTTCCTAGGCAGAGGACCCTGCGGCCTTCCGCAGTGTTTGTGTCCCTGATTACTTGAGATTAGGGATTGGTGATGACTCTTAACGAGCATGCTGCCTTCAAGCATCTGTTTAACAAAGCACATCTTGCACCGCCCTTAATCCATTTAACCCTGAGTGGACACAGCACATGTTTCAGAGAGCACAGGGTTGGGGGTAAGGTCACAGATCAACAGGATCCCAAGGCAGAGGAATTTTTCTTAGTGTAGAACAAAATGAAAAGTCTCCCATGTCTACTTCTTTCCACACAGACACGGCAACCATCCGATTTCTCAATCTTTTCCCCACCTTTCCCGCCTTTCTATTCCACAAAGCCGCCATTGTCATCCTGGCCCGTTCTCAATGAGCTGTTGGGTACACCTCCCAGACGGGGTGGTGGCCGGGCAGAGGGGCTCCTCACTTCCCAGTAGGGGCGGCCGGGCAGAGGCGCCCCTCACCTCCCGGACGGGGCGGCTGGCCGGGCAGGGGGGCTGACCCCCCCCCCACCTCCCTCCCGGAGGGGCGGCTGGCCGGGCGGGGGGCTGACCCCCCCACCTCCCTCCCGGACGGGCGGCTGGCCGGGCAGAGGGGCTCCTCACTTCCCAGTAGGGGTGGCCGGGCAGAGGCGCCCCTCACCTCCCGGACGGGGTGGCTGGCCGGGCGGGGGGGCTGACCCCCCCACCTCCCTCCCGGACGGGGCGGCTGGCCGGGCGGGGGGCTGACACCCCCACCTCCCTCCCGGACGGGGCGGCTGGCCGGGCAGAGGGGCTCCTCACTTCCCAGTAGGGGCGGCCGGGCAGAGGCGCCCCTCACCTCCCGGACAGGGCGGCTGGCCGGGCAGGGGGGCTGACCCCCCCCCACCTCCCTCCCGGACGGGGCGGCTGGCCGGGCGGGGGGCTGACCCCCCCACCTCCCTCCCGGACGGGGCGGCTGGCCGGGCAGAGGGGCTCCTCACTTCCCAGAAGGGGCGGCCGGGCAGAGGCGCCCCTCACCTCCCAGACGGGGCGGCTGGCCGGGTGGAGGGCTGACCCTCCCACCTCCCTCCCGGACGGGGCGGCTGGCCGGGCAGAGGGGCTCCTCACTTCCCAGTAGGGGCGGCCGGGCAGAGGCGCCCCTCACCTCCCTGACGGGGCGGCTGGCCGGGCGGAGGGCTGACCCCCCCACCTCCCTCCCGGATGGGGCGGCTGGCCAGGCGGGGGGCTGACCCCCCCACCTCCCTCCCGGACGGGGCGGCTGGCCGGGTGGGGGGGCTGACCCCCCCATCTCCCTCCCGGATGGGGTGGCTGGCCGGGCTGAGGGGCTCCTCACTTCCCAGTAGGGGCGGCCGGGCAGAGGCGCCCCTCGCCTCCCGGACGGGGCGGCTGGCCGGGCAGGGGGCTGACCCCCCCCCACCTCCCTCCCGGACGGGGTGGCTGCCGGGCGGAGACGCTCCTCACTTCCCAGATGGGGTGGCTGCTGGGCGGAGACGCTCCTCACTTCCCAGATGGGGTGGCTGCCGGGCGGAGAGGCTCCTCACTTCTCAGACGGGGCGGCCGGGCAGAGACGCTCCTCACCTCCCAGACGGGGTCTCGGCCGGGCAGAGGCGCTCCTCACATCCCAGATGGGGCGGCGGGGCAGAGGCGCTCCCCACATCTCAGACGATGGGCGGCCGGGCAGAGACGCTCCTCACTTCCTAGATGTGATGGCGGCTGGGAAGAGGCGCTCCTCACTTCCTAGATGGGATGGGGGCCGGGCGGAGACGCTCCTCACTTTCCAGACTGGGCAGCCAGGCAGAGGGGCTCCTCACATCCCAGACAATGGGCGGCCAGGCAGAGACACTCCTCACTTCCCAGACGGGGTGGTGGCCCGGCAGAGGCTGCAATCTCGGCACTTTGGGAGGCCAAGGCAGGCGGCTGGGAGGTGTAGGTTGTAGTGAGCCGAGATCACGCCACTGCACTCCAGCCTGGGCACCATTGAGCACTGAGTGAACGAGACTCCGTCTGCAATCCCGGCACCTCGGGAGGCCGAGGTTGGCGGATCACTCGCGGTTAGGGGCTGGAGACCGGCCCGGCCAACACAGCGAAACCCCGTCTCCACCAAAACCAGTCAGGCGTGGCGGCGCGTGCCTGCGATCGCAGGCATTTGGCAGACTGAGGCAGGAGAATCAGGCAGGGAGGTTGCAGTGAGCCGAGATGGCAGCAGTACAGTCCAGCTTCGGCTCCGCATGAGAGGGAGAGGGAGAGGGGGAGGGGGAGGGGGAGGGGGAGGGGGAGGGGGAGGGAGAGCTCGACTTTCAATCTTCATTAGATAGCTTCAAATTTTGTTCTTACCAAAACAAATTCCAAAATTTAAATAGTAATAATGTTATTGATACTACTTTCTATAAATATGTCAAAAATATTTTTAACTGCTAAATATACTAAAAAGAATCCATGGATCCCCGGGCAAGATGGTCAAATGGAAACAGCTCCAGTCTGCTGCTCCCAGCAAGACCAACGCAATAGGCAGGTGATTTCTGCATTTCCAACTGAGGTACCCAGTTCATCTCATTGGGACTCGTTAGAGAGTGGGTGCAGCCCACACAGGGCAAGGCAGGGTAAGGCATCACCTGACCCGGGAAGCACAAGGGGTTGGGGAACTCACTCCCCTAGCCAAGGAAAGCCATGAGGAACAGTGCCTTGAAGAAGGGTGCACTCTGGCCCAGATACTATGCTCTTCCCACCGTCTTTATAACCCACAGACCAGGAGACTCGCTTGAGTGCCTACGACACCAGGGCCCTGGGTTTGAAGCACAAAACAGAGTGGCCATTTGGGCAGACACCAAGGTAGCTGCAGGAGTTTTTTTTTCATACCCCAGTGGCTCCTGGAACACCAGTGAGACAGAATCATTCACTCCCCTGGAAAGGGGGCTGAAGCCAGGGAGCCAAGTGGTTTAGCTCTGCAGATCCCACCCCTGGGGAGCCCAGCAAGCTAAGATCCACTGGCTTGAAATTCTCGCTCCCAGCACAGCAGTCTGAAGTCAACCTGGGACACTCAAGCTTGCTGGGGACAGGGGCGTCCACCATTACTGAGTCTTGACTAGGTGATTTTCCCCTCACAGTATAAACAAAGCCTCTGGGAAGTTCAAATTGGGTGAAGCCCACCACAGCTCAGCAAAGACACTCTAGCCAGACTACCTCTCTGGATTCCTCCTCTCTGGGCAGGGCATCTGTGAAAGAAAGGCAGCTTAACTATAAGCCCAGTGAGGGGCTTAGAGACAAAACTCCCATCTCTCTGGGACAGAACACCTGGGGGAAGAGGTGGCAGTGGGCGAAGCTTCAGCAGATTTAAACGTTCCTGCCTGTCAGCTCTCTGAAGAGAGAAGCGGATCTCCCAGCACAGCACTCGAGCTCTGCTAAGAGACAGACTGCCTCCTTAAGTGGCTCCTTGACCCCCGTGCCTCCTCACTGGGAGGCACTTCCCAGCAGGGGTCGACAGATACCTCATACAGGAGAGCTCTGGCTGGCATCTGACAGGTGGCCCTCTGAGAAGAAACTTCCAGAGAAAAAGCAGGCAGCAATCTTTGCTGTTCTGCAGCCTCCGCTGGTGATAACCAGGAAAACAGGGTATGGAGTGGACCCTCAGCAAACTCCCGCAGACCTACAGCAGACGGGCTTGACTGTTAGAAGGACAGTAAGAAACAGAAAGGAACATAGCATCAATATCAACAAAAAGGATGACCATGCAAAAACGACATTTGAAGGTCACCAACAGCAAAGACCAAAGGTAGATAAATCCACGAACATGAGGAAAAACCAGTACAAAAAGGCTAAAAATTCCAAAAACCAGAATGCCTCTTCTCCTCTCAAGGATCACAACTGCTTGCCAGCAAGGGAACAAAACTTGATGGAGAATGAGTTTGATGAATTTACAGAAGAAGGCCTCAAAAGGTGGGTAAGAACAAATTTCCCCAAGCCAAAGGAACATGTTCTAAATCAATGCAAGGAACCTAAGAACCTTGAAAAATGGGTAGAGGAATTGCTAACTAAAATAACGAGTTTAGAGAAGAACACAAATGACCTGATGGAGCTGAAAAACACAGCATGAGAACTTCAAGCAGCATACATAAGTACCAATAGCTGAATCAATCAAGCGGAAGAAAGGATATCAGAGATTGAAGATCAACTTAATGAAATGAAGCATGAAGACAAGATTAGAGAAAAAGAATGAAAAGGAATGAACAAAGCCTCCAAGAAATATGGGACTATGTGAAAAGATCAAACCTACATTGATTGGTGTACCTGAAACTGACGGGAAGAATGGAACCAAGTTGGAAAACACTCTTCAGGATATTATCCAGGAGAACGTCCCCAACCTAGCAAAACAGGCCAACACTCAAATTCAGAAAATTCAGAGAATATCACAAAGAAACTCCTTGAGAAGAACAACCCCAACATATAATCATCAGCTTCACCAAGGCTGAAATGAAGGAAAAAATGTTAAGGGCAGCCAGGGTACCCACAAAGGGAAGCCCATCAGACTAACAGTGGATCTCTCTGCAGAAACCCTACAAGCCAGAAGAGAGTAGGGACCAATATTCAACATTCTTAAAGAAAAGAATTTTCAACCCAGAATTTCATATCCAGCCAAACTAAGCTTCATAAATGAAGGAGAAATAAAATCCTTTACAGACAAGCAAATGCTGAGAGATTTTGTCACCACCAGGCCTGCCTTACAAGAGCTCCTGAAGTAAGCACTAAATACGGAAAGGAAAAACCAGTACCAGCCACTGCAAAAACATATCAAATTGTAAAGACCGTCGACACTATGAAGAAACTGCATGAACTAACCAGCAAAATAACCAGCTAGCATCATACTGACATGATCAAATTCACATATAACAATATTAACCATAAATCTAAATGAGCTAAATGCCCCCAATTAAAAGACACAGACTGGTAAATTGGATAAAGAGTCAAGACCCATCGGTGTGCTGTATTCAGGAGACCCATCTCACGTGCAAAGACACACATAGGCTCAAAATAAAGGGATGGAAGAATAATTACCAAGCAAATGGAAAGCAAAAAAACAAAAAATCAGGGGTTGCAATTTTAGTCTCTGATAAAACAGACTTTAAACCAACAAAGATCAAAAGGACAAAGAAGGGCATTACATATGGTAAAGGGAATCAATGCAACAAGAAGAGCTAACACTCCTAAATATATATGCACCCAATACAGGACCACCTAGATTCATAAAGCAAGTTCTTAGAGACCTACAAAGAGACTTAGACTCCCACACAATAATAGTGGGAGACTTTAACACCCCACTGTCAATATTAGAAAGATCAACAAGACAGAAAATTAACAAGGATATTCAGGACTTGAACTCGGCTCTGGACCAAGTGGACCTAATAGACATCTACAGAACTCTCCACCCCAAATCAACAGCATATACATTCTTCTCAGCACCACATAGCACTTATCCTAAAATCGACCACATAACTGGAAATAAAATACTCCTCAGCAAATGCAAAAGAACAGAAATCATAACAGTCTCTCAGATCACAGTGCAAACAAATTAGAACTCAGGATGAAGAAACTCAAAACCACACAACTACATGCAAAATGAAAAACTTGTTCCTGAATGACCACTGGGTAAATAACGAAAATTAAGGCACAAATAAATTAGTTCTTTGAAACCAATGAGAACAAAGATACAATGTACCAGAATCTCTGGGACACAGCTAAAGCAGCGCTTAGAGAAAAATTTATAGCACTAAAATGCCCACAGAAGAAAGCAGGAAAGATCTAAAATTGACACCTTAACATCACAATTAAAAGAACTAGAGAAGCAAGAGAAAACAAATTCAAAAGCTAGCACAAGACAAGAAGTAACTAAGATCAGAGCAGAACTGAAGAAGACAGAGACATGAAAAACCCTTCAAAAAATCAATGAATCCAGGAGATGGTTTTCTGAAAAGATTAACAAAATAGATGGACGGCTAGCCAGAATAATAAAGAAGAAAACAGAGAAGAATCAAATAGACACAATAAAAAATGATAAAGGGGAGATCACCACCAATCCCACAGAAATACAAACTAACATCAGAGAATACTATAAACACCTCTATGCAAATAAACTAGAAAATCTAGAAGAAATGGATAATTTCCTAGACAAATACACTCTCTGAAGGCTAAACCAGGAAAAATTCAAATTCCTGAATAGACCAATAACAAGTTCTGAAACTGAGGCAGTAATTAATAGCCTATCAACCAAAAAAAGCCCAGGATCAGACGGATTCACAGCCTAATTCTACCAGAGGTACAAAGAGGAGCTGGTACCATTCCTTCTGAAACTACTCCAAACAACAGAAAAAGAGGGACTCCTCCCTAACTCATTTTATGAGGCCAGCATCACCCTGATACCAAAACCTGGCGGAGACACAACAGAAAAAGGAAATTTCAGGCCAATATCCCTTATGAATATCAATGCGAAAATCCTCAATAAACTACTGGCAAGCCGAATGCAGCAGCACATCAAAATGCTTATCTACCACAATCAAGTCGGCTCCATCCCTGGAATGCAAGGCTGGTTCAACATACCTAAATCAGTAAACATAATCCATCACATAAAAAGAACCAATGACAAAAACCGCATGATTATCTCAATAGATGCAGAAAAGGCCTTCGATAAAATTCAATGCCCCTTCATGCTAAAAAACTCTCAATAAAATAGGTATTGATGGAACATATCTGAAAAAATAATACAAGCTATTTATGACAAACCCACAGCCAATATCATACTGAATGAGCAAAAGCTGGAAGCATTCCCTTTGAAAACTGGCATAAGAGAAGGATGCCCTCTCTCACCACTCCTACTCAACATAGTGTTGGAAGTTCTGGCCAGGGCAATCAGGCAAGAGAAAGAAATAAAGGGTATTCAAATAGGAAAAGAGGAAGTCAAATTGTCTCTGTTTGCAGATGACATCATTGTATATCCAGAAAACCCCATCATCTCAGCCCAAAAACTCCTTCAGCTGATAAGCAACTTCAGGAAAGCCTCAGAATACAAAATCAATGTGCAAAAATCACATGCATTCCTATACACCAATAACAGACAAACAGAGAGCCAAATCATAGGCAAACTCACATTCACAATTGCTACAAAGAGTATTAAATACCTAGGAATACAACTTACAAAGGATGTGAAGGACCTCTTCAAGGAGAACTACAAACCACTGCTCAAGGAAATAAGAGAGGACACGAACAAATGGAAAAACATTCCATGCTCATGGATAGTTAGAATCAGTATCGTGAAAATGGCCATACTGCCCAAATTTATAGATTCAATGCTATTCCCATCAAGCTACCAGTGACTTTCTTCACAGACTTAGAAAAAACTACTTTAAATTTCATATGGAACCAAAAAAAGAGCCCTCATAGCCAAGACAATCCTCAGCAAAAAGAACAAAGCTGGAGGCATCACACTACCTGACTTCAAACTACACTACAAGGCTACGGTAACTACAACAGTATGGTACTTGTATCAAAACAGATATATAGACCAATGGAACAGAACAGAGGCCTCAGAAATAACACCACACATCTACAACCATCTGATCTTTGGCAAACCTGACAAAAACAAGCAATAGGGAAAAGATTCCCTATTCCATAAATGGTGTTGGGAAACTGGCTAGCCATATGCAGAAAACTGAAACTGGACGCTTTCCTTACACGTTATGCAAAAATTAACTCAAGGTGGACTAAAGACCTAAAACCATAAATACCCTAGAAGAAAACCTAGGCAATACTATTCAGGACATAGGCATGGGCAAAGACTTTATGACTAAAACACCAAAAGCAATGGCAACAAAAGCCAAAATTAAAAAATGGGATCTAATTAAACTAAAGAGCTTCTGCACCGCAAAAGAAACTATCATCAGAATGAACAAGCAACCTACAGAATGGGAGAAAATTTTTGCAATCTATCCATCTGACAAAGCGCTAATATCCAGAATCTACAAAGAACTTAAACAAATTTACAAGAAAGAAACAATCCCATCAAAAAGTGGGTGAAGGATATTAACAGACACTCCTCAAAAGAATACATTTATTCAGCCAACAAATATATGAAAAAATGCTCATCATCACTGGTAATTAGATAAATGCAAATCAAAATCACAATGAGATACTATCTCTTGCCAGTTAGAATGGCGACCATTAGAAAGTCAGGAAACAATAGATGCTGGAGAGGATGTGGAGAAATAGGAATGCTTTTACACTGTTGGTCGGAGTGTAAATTAGTTAAACCATTGTCAAAGACAGTGCGGTGATTCCTCAAGGATCTAGAACTAGGAATACCATTTGACCCAGCAACCCCATTACTGAGTATACACCCATGCTGCTATAAAGACACACACACACGTATGTTTATTGCAGCACTTTTCACAATAGCAAAGACTTGGAACCAACCCAAATGCCCATCAATGATAGACTGGTTAAAGAAAATGTGGCACATATACACCATAGAATAACATGCACTCATAAAAAAGGATGAGTTCATGTCCATTGCAGGGACATGGATGAAGCTGGAAACCATCATTCTCACCAAATTAACACAAGAACTGAAAACAAAACACTGCATGTTCTCACTCTTAAGTGGGAGTTGAACAATGAGAACACATGGACACAGGGAGGGGAACATCACACACGGGGGCCTGTAATGGGGTGGGGGGGCTAGGGGAGGGATAGCATTAGGAGAAATATGTAATGTAGATGAGGGATTGATGAGTGCAGCAAACCACCATGGCACATGTATACATACCTATGTAACAAACCTGCACATTCTGCACATGTATCCCGGAACTTAAAGGATAATAATAAAAAAAAATAATAATAATAATGGCAGTTAACTTTCAATGAGTGCCAACTGCCAGGAACTATAGTACACACTCTTACATTAATTCAATCATTATTAATTTAATAAATAAGACTAATGATTTGGTTTGGCCCATATCTCACATTGAAATATAATCCCTAATGTTGGAGGTGGGTCCTGGTAGTAGGTATTTGGATCATGGGCACAGATCCCTCATGGCTTGGTGCTCTCCTCACAATAGTGTGTGAATTCCCACAAGATCTTGTTAAATGTGTGGCATTTCCCCCTCACTTTCTCTCTCTCTCTTATTCCTGCTTTGCCATGTGACATGCCTGTTCCCTCTTTGCCTTCTGCCATGATTGGAAGCCTCCTGACACCCTCCCCTATCCCAGAAGCAGATGCCAGGATGCTTCTTGTACAGCCTGCAGAACCATGAGCCAATTAAACCTCTTTGCTTATAAATTACCCAGCCTCATGCATTTCTTTATAGCAATGCACAAACAGACTAACAAAACTAATTATATTATTCTTCCCAGATATTACTGATGAGAAAACAGAGGCACAGGGCAGACAATCTCACCCTAGATCACAGGGCTAGAAAGTGATCAAAAAAAAAAAAAAGTAGAATAAAACTACATATATTTTTCTCTCCTCCATAAGTTGGATTCTTTTCAAAAATCTTGTATAATATTCCAAAGTACTTTCCCTCTATTATCTCATTTTGTCTTATTCTTGAAGAAACTCTGTAATATAGACTGACCAGGAATAACTCTCCCCATGTTACACATGTGAAAAGAGAAACTTGAAGAAGATAAAGGACTTATTTAATGTCACACAAATAACAGTCACACTTCAACCTCTGCCATGTGGCAGAACTGGAAAATGAACCCCTATCTTTAAACTCCAAGTTCAGTGTTCTTTCTAGTATAAATCTGAATTTCCTACATAACATGCCAGAATGAAGATTTGTCCTTAAATTCAGACTACTCCCATATTAATACCAATTAATAATGTTTTGCTGTGGCCATTTCTTTCAAAAATTTTCAACTTTTATTTTAGATATGAGGGTACAGGTGCAGATTTGTTACATGGGAATATTGTCTGATGCTGGGATTTGGAGTATGGATCCCGTGACCCAGGCAGTAGTTCCTGATAGGTAGTTTTTTAACCTACCCCACTCCTTCCACCCCCTACTAGTCCATAGTGTCTATTGTGCCCATGTTTCTGTTCATGTGTGTTCGATGCTTAGCTCCAAATTATAAGTGAGAAAATGTAGCATTTGGTTTTCTGTTCCTGCATTAATTTGCTTAGGATTATGGCCTCCAGCTCCATTCATGTTGCTGCAAAGGACATGATGATTGACTGTGAATGTTTTCTACTTTTACAACTTTTCCTATGTTTATAGAAAGACTTGTCCCAGAAACATTCCCTTCATTAAAGATAAAGATATTTTGGGTGGCTGGCAAGATGGCCAAACAGGAACTGCTCCGGTCTGCAGCTCCCAGTGAGATCAATGCAGAAAGTAGGTGATTTCAGCATTTCCAACTGACGTGCCCGGCTCATCTCACTGGGACTGGTTAGACAGTGGGTGCAGCCCACGGAGGGCTAGCCAAAGCAGAGTGCGGCATCTCCTCAATTGGAAAGCACAAGGGGTCGGGGAACTCACTCCCCTAGCCAAGGAAAGCCATGAGGAACTGTGCCTTAAGGAATGGTGCACTCAGGCCCAGATACTACACTCTTCCCACGGTCTTGGCAACCCACAGACCAGGAGATTCCTTTGGGCGCCTACACCACCAGAGCCCTGGGTTTCAAGCACAAAACTGGGCAGTCATTTGGGCAGACACTGAGCTAGCTGCAGGGCTTTTTTTTTAATACCCAAGTGGCACCTGGAACGCCAGCGAGACAGAACCATTCGCTCCCCTGAAAAGGGGGCTAAAGCCAGGGAGCCAAGTGGTCTTGCTCAGTGGATCCCACCACCACGGAGCACAGCAAGCTAAGATCCACTGGCCTGAAATTCATGCTGCCAGCATAGCAGTCTGAAGTCGACCTGGGATGCTCGAGTTTCATGGGGACAGGGGCATCTGCCATTACTGAGGCTTCAGTAGGCAGTTTTCCCCTCACAGTGTAAAGAAAGCCGCCTGGAAGTTCAAACTGGGCGGAGCCCGCCGCAGCTTGGCAAAGCGGCTGCAGCCAGACTGTCTCTCTAGGTTCCTCCTCTCTAGGCAGGGCATCTCTGAAAAACAGGCAGCAGCCCCAGTCAGGGGCTTATAGATGAAACCCCCATCTCCCGGACAGACGACCTAAGGGAAGGGGCAGTTGTGGGGGCAGCTTCAGGAGACTTAAACGTTCTTGCCTGCAGGCTGTGAAAAGAGCAGCGGATCTCCCTGCAGCAGCCCTTGAGCTCTGCCAAGGGACAGACCGCCTCCTCAAGTGGCTCCCTGACCCCCCTGACTCCTGACTGGGAAATACCTCACAGCAGGGATTGACAGACACCTCATAAAGGAGAGCTTCAGCTGGCATCTGGCAGATGCCCCCCTGGGATGAAGCTTCCAGATGAAGGAACAGGAAGCAATCTTTGCTGTTCTGCAGCCTCCGCTGGTGATAACCAGGCAAACAGGGTTTGAGTGGACCTCCAGGAAACTCCAGCAGTCCTGCAGCAGAGAGGCCTGACTATTAGAAGGAAAGCAACAAATAGAAAGGGATAGCATCAACATCAACAAAAAGATTGTCCACAAAGAAACCCCATCCGAAGGGCTTCAGCATCAAAGACCAAAGGTAGGTAAATCCACAAAGATGAGGAAAAATCAGTGCAAAAAGGCTGAAAATTCCAAAAACCAGAATGCCTCTTCTCCTCCAAAAAATCACAACTCCTCACCAGCAAGGGAACATAACTGGACATGGAATGAGTTTGATGAATTGACAGAAGTAGGCTTCAGAAGGTGGGTAATAAACTCCTACAAGCTAAAGGAGCATGTTCTAACCCAATGCAAGGAAGCTAACAGCCTTGAAAAATGGTTAGAGAAATTGCTAACTAGAATAACCAGTTTAGAGAAAAACCAAATGAACTGATGTAGCTAAAAACACAGCATGAGAACTTCGTGAAGCATACAAAGGTATCAAAGGCTGAATCAATCAAGCAGAAGAAAGGATATCAGAGATTGAAGATCAACTTAAGGAAATAAAGCATGAAGACAAGATTAGAGAAAAAGAATGAAAAGCCTCCAAGAAATATGGGACTATGTGAAAAGACCAAACCTACATTGGATTGGTGTACTTGAAAGTGATGGGAAGAATGGAACCAAGTTGGAAAACACTTTTCAGAATATTATCCAGAAGAACATCCCCAACCTAGCAAGACAGGCCAAAATTCAAACTCAGGAAATACAGAGAACACCACAAAAATACTCCTTGAGAAGAGCAACCCAAAAACACATAATCATCAGATTTACCAAGATTGAAATGAAGGAAAAAATGTTAAGGGCAGCCAGAGAGAAAGGTCGGGTTACCCACAAAGGGAAGCCCATCAGACTTCCATTTGCTTGGTAATGGAAGTCTGATGGGCTTCCCTTTGTGGGTAACCAGACCTTTGCGGGGAAGCCCAACAGTGGATCTCTCTGCAGAAACCCTACAAGCCAGAAGAGAGTGGGGGCCAATATTCAACATTCTTAAAGAAAAGAATTTTCAACCCAGAATTTCATATCCAGCCAAACTAAGCTTCATAAATGAAGGAGAAATAAAATCCTTTACAGACAAGCAAATGCTGAGAGATTTTGTCACCACCAGGCCTGCCTTACAAGAGCTCCTGAAGTAAGCACTAAATATGGAAAGGAAAAACCAGTACCAGCCACTGCAAAAACATACAAAATTGTAAAGACCATCAACACTATGAAGAAACTGCATTAACTAACTGGCAAAATAACCAGCTAGCATCATACTGACATGATCAAATTCACATATAACAATATTAACCATAAATGTAACAGGCTAAATATACCAATTAAAAGACACAGACTGGCATATTGGATAAAGAGTCAAGACCCATCGGTGTGCTGTATTCAGGAGACCCATCTCACGTGCAAAGACACACATAGGCTCAAAATAAAGGGATGAAGGAATAATTACCAAGCAAATGGAAGGCAAAAAAACAAAAAATCAGGGGTTGCAATTCTAGTCTCTGATAAAACAGACTTTAAACCAACAAAGATCAAAAGAGACAAAGAAGGGCATTATGTAATGGTAAAGGGAATCAATGCAACAAGAAGAGCTAACACTCCTAAATATATATGCACCCAATACAGGACCACCTAGATTCATAAAGCAAGTTCTTAGAGACCTACAAAGAGACTTAGACTCCCACACAATAATAGTGGAAGACTTTAACACCCCACTGTCAATATTAGATAGATCAACAAGACAGAAAATTAGCAAGGATATTCAGGACTTGAACTCGGCTCTGGACCAAGTGGACCTAATAGACACCTACAGAACTCTCCACCCCAAATCAACAGCATATACATTCTTCTCAGCACCACATAGCACTTATTCTAAAATCAACCACATAATTGGAAATAAAATACTCCTCAGCAAATGCAAAAGAAAAGAAACCATAACAGTCTCTCAGACCACAGTGCAATCTATATTAGAACTCAAGAAGAAGAAACTCACTCAAAACCGCACAACTGCATGGAAAATGAACAACCTGCTCCTGAATGACCACTGGGCAAATAATGAAAATTAAGGCACAAATAAATTAGTTCTTTGAAACCAATGAGAACAAAGATACAATGTACCAGAATCTCTGGGACACAACTAAAGCAGTGCTTAGAGGAAAATTTACAGCACTAAATGCCCACAGGAGGAAGCAGGAAAGATCTAAAACTGATACCTTAACATCACAATTAAAAGAACTAGAGGAGCAAGGACATACAAATTCAAAAGTTAGCAGAAGACAAGAAATAACTAAGATCAGGCCAGAACTGAAGAAGACAGAGACATGAAAAACCCTTCAAAAAAATCAATGAATCCAGGAGATGGTTTTCTGAAAATATTAACAAAATAGATGGACTGCTAGCCAGAATAATAAAGAAGAAAACAGAAAAGAATCAAATACATGCAATAAAAAATGATAAAGAGGAGATCACCACCAATCCCACAGAAATACAAACTACCATCAGAGAATACTATAAACACCTCTATGCAAATAAACTAGAAAATCTAGAAGAAATGGATAATTTCCTAGACAAATACACTCTCTGAAGGCTAAACCAGGAAAAATTCAAATTCCTGAATAGACCAATAACAAGTTCTGAAACTGAGGCAGTAATTAATAGCCTATCAACCAAAAAAAGCCCAGGATCAGACGGATTCACAGCCTAATTCTACCAGAGGTACAAAGAGGAGCTGGTACCATTCCTTCTGAAACTACTCCAAACAATAGAAAAAGAGGGACTCCTCCCTAACTCATTTTATGAGGCCAGCATCACCCTGATACCAAAACCTGGCGGAGACACAACAGAAAAAGGAAATTTCAGGCCAATATCCCTTATGAATATCAATGCGAAAATCCTCAATAAACTACTGGCAAGCCGAATGCAGCAGCACATCAAAATGCTTATCTACCACAATCAAGTCGGCTCCATCCCTGGAATGCAAGGCTGGTTCAACATACCTAAATCAGTAAACATAATCCATCACATAAAAAGAACCAATGACAAAAACCGCATGATTATCTCAATAGATGCAGAAAAGGCCTTCGATAAAATTCAATGCCCCTTCATGCTAAAAAACTCTCAATAAAATAGGTATTGATGGAACATATCTGAAAAAATAATACAAGCTATTTATGACAAACCCACAGCCAATATCATACTGAATGAGCAAAAGCTGGAAGCATTCCCTTTGAAAACTGGCATAAGAGAAGGATGCCCTCTCTCACCACTCCTACTCAACATAGTGTTGGAAGTTCTGGCCAGGGCAATCAGGCAAGAGAAAGAAATAAAGGGTATTCAAATAGGAAAAGAGGAAGTCAAATTGTCTCTGTTTGCAGATGACATCATTGTATATCCAGAAAACCCCATCATCTCAGCCCAAAAACTCCTTCAGCTGATAAGCAACTTCAGGAAAGCCTCAGAATACAAAATCAATGTGCAAAAATCACATGCATTCCTATACACCAATAACAGACAAACAGAGAGCCAAATCATAGGCAAACTCACATTCACAATTGCTACAAAGAGTATTAAATACCTAGGAATACAACTTACAAAGGATGTGAAGGACCTCTTCAAGGAGAACTACAAACCACTGCTCAAGGAAATAAGAGAGGACACGAACAAATAGAAAAAAACATTCCATGCTCATGGATAGTTAGAATCAGTATCGTGAAAATGGCCATACTGCCCAAACTAATTTATAGATTCAACGCTATTCCCATCAAGCTACCAGTGACTTTCTTCACAGACTTAGAAAAAACTACTTTAAATTTCATATGGAAGCAAAAAAAGAGCCCTCATAGCCAAGACAATCCTCAGCAAAAAGAACAAAGCTGGAGGCATCACACTACCTGACTTCAAACTATACTACAAGGCTACGGTAACTACAACAGTATGGTACTTGTATCAAAACAGATATATAGACCAATGGAACAGAACAGAGGCCTCAGAAATAACACCACACATCTACAACCATCTGATCTTTGACAAACCTGACAAAAACAAGCAATAGGGAAAACATTTCCTATTTCATAAATGGTGTTGGGAAAACTGGCTAGCCATATGCAGAAAACTGAAACTGGACACTTTCCTTACACATTACGCAAAAATTAACTCAAGATGGATTAAAGACCTAAAACCATAAATACCCTAGAAGAAAACCTAGGCAATACTATTCAGGACTTAGGCATGGGCAAAGACTTTATGACTAAAACACCAAAAGCAATGGCAACAAAAGCCAAAATTGAAAAATGGGATCTAATTAAACTAAAGAGCTTCTGCACCACAAAAGAAATTATCATCAGAGTGAACAGGCAACCTACAGAATGGGAGAAAATTTTTGCAATCTATCCATCTGACAAAGGGCTAATATCCAGAATCTACAAAGAACTTAAACAAATTTACAAGAAAAAAACAATCCCATCAAAAAGTGGGTGAAGGATATGAACAGACACTTCTCAAAAGAACACATTTATGCAGCTAACAAACATATGAAAAAATGCTCATCATCTCTGGTCTTTAGAGAAATGCAAATCAAAATCACAATGAGATACCATCTCATGCCAGTTAGAATGGTGTTCATTAAAAAGTCAGGAAACAACAGATGCTGGAGAGGATGTGGAGAAATAGGAATGCTTTTACACTGGTGGATGGAGAGTAAATTATTAAAGCATTGTGGAAGACAGTGTGGCAATTCCTCAAGGATCTAGAACCAGAAATACTGTTTGACCCAGCAATCCCATTACTGGGCATATATCCAAAGGATTATAAATCATGCTACTATAAAGACACACTCACACATATGTTTATTGCAGCACTGTTCACAATAGCAAGGACTTGGAACCAACCCAAATGCCCATCAATGTTAGACTGGATAAAGAAGACATGGCACATATACACCATGGAATACCCTAAAAAAGAATGAGTTCATGTCCTTTGTAGGGACATGGATAAAGCTGGAAACCATCATTCTTACCAAACTAACACAAGAACAGAAAACCAAACACCACATGTTCTCGCTTATAAATGAGAGTTGAACAATCAGAATGCACGGCACAGGGAGGGGAACATCACACACCAGGTCCTGTTTGGGGGTGGGGGACAATGGGAGGGATAACATTAGGAGAAATACCTAATGTAGATGATGGGTTGATGGGTGGAGCAAACCACCATGGCACATGTATACCTATTTAACAAACCTGCACGTTCTGCACATGTATCCCAGAACTTAAATTATAAAAAAAAAAAAAAGCCAAGGGCAGTGGCTCACGTCTGTAATCCCAGCACTTTGGGAGGCCAAGGCGGGCAGATCACAAGGTCAGGAGATCGAGACCATCCTGGCTAACGTGGTGAAGCCCCATCTCTACTAAAAATACAAAAAATTAGCCGGGCGTGGTGGCAAGTGTCAGCCAAGATCGCACCACTGCACTCCAGCTTGGGTGACAGAGCGAGACTCCATCTCAAAAAAAAAAAAAAAATCCATGGAATATAAGTGGAAAAAAACAAAAAGTAGATAGCCCATTTTTAACTCCACCATTTCCTTTTGTTTAACTAGTGGTTTAGGATTGGAATAGATTTTTCAGGCTCCATCTCCAACTACTTTAGTTTTTATGTTTTGAAACAGGGTCTTGCTCTGTCACCCAGGCTGGAGTGCAGTGGTGCAATCACAGCTAATCACAGCCTCGACCTCCTAGGCCCAAGTGATCCTCTCACCTCAGCCTCCTGACTAGCTGAGACAACAGGCTTACACCACCATGCATGGCTAATTTTTTTTTTTTTTTTTTTTTTGTACAGACAGTGTCTCCCTGTGTTGCCAAGCTGGTCTAGAACTCCTGGCTCAAGCAATCCTCTCACCTGGGTCTCCGAAAGTGCTGGGATTACAGGCGTAAGCCACCATGCCTGGTCTCCATTTCCAACTTCTAAATGTTAAAGGTGGTCTTTATATAGCAAAATATCTAGCTTTCAAAAAGCCTTAGTCAACTTCACAGCTTTGTAAAGGACCCATCTAATTATGCTTTTTTTTTTTTTACTTTTATTTTAGGTTTAGGGATACATGTGAAGTTTTGTTATATAGATAAACTCATATCATGCGGGTTTGTTGAACAGATTATTTCATCACTCATGTATTAAGCCTAGTACCTAATAGTTATTTTTCCTGCTCCTCTTCCTCTTTTCACCCTCCACCCTCAAGTAGAACCCAGTGTCTGTTGCTCCCTTCTTTGTGTTCATGAGTTCTTGTCATATAGCTCCCACTTAATAAGTAAGAACATAACGGTATTTGGTTTTCTGTTCCTGCATTAGTTTGCTAAGGATAATAGCCTCCATCCAGCTACGTCTGTGTTCCCACAGAATACATGACCGCATTCTTTTTTATAGCTGCATAGTATTCTATGGTGTATATGTACTACATCTTCTTTATCCTATCTGTCATTGATGGACATTTAGGTTGATTAGGTTAGTCTTTGCTATTGTGAATAGTGCTGCAGTGAACATCTGCATGCATGTTTCTTTATAGTAGAATGATTTATATTCCTCTGGATATACACCCAGTGATGGGATTACTGGATTGAATGTAGTTCTGTTTTTAGCTATTTAAGGAGTTACCACATTACTTTTCACAATGGTTGAACTAATTTACACTCCCACCAACAGTGTATAAGTGTTCCCTTTTCTCTGCAACCTTGCCAGCATCTGTTATTTTTTGACTTTTTAATAACAGCCGTCTGTATGGTGTAAGATGGTATCACATTGTGGTTTTGATTTGCATTTCTCTAATGATCAGAGACATTGAGCATTTTTTCATATGCATGTTGGCCACATGTATGTCTTCTTTTGAAAAGTGTCTGTTCATGTCCTTTGCCCACTTTTTAACGGGATTGTTTTTCTATTGTAAATTTGTTTAAGGTCCTTATAGATGCTGGATATTAGACCATTGTCAGATGTATAGTTTGCAGTTTGCATAAATTTTCCCATTCTGTAGGTTGTCTGTTTACTCTGTTGATAGTTTCTGTTGCTGTGCAGAAGCTCTTAAGTTTAATTAGATTCGACTTGTCTTGCTTTTGTTGCAATTGCTTTTGGTGTCTGTGTCATGAAATCTTTGCCCATTCCTATGTCCAGGATGGTATTTCCTATGTTGTCTTCCAGTGTTTTATAGCTTTGGGTTTCACATTTAAGTCTCTAATCCACCGTGAGTCGATTTTTGTATACGATGTAAAAAAGAGCACAGCTTCAATCTTCTGCATATGGCTAGCCAATTATCCTAGCATCATTTTTTGAATAGGGAGTCTTTTCCCCATTGCTTGTTTTTGTCAGCTTTGTCAAAGATCATATACCCTCCCAACACTGACGCAGGAAGAAATTCATTCCCTGAACAGACCAATAACAGCTCCAAAATTGAATCAGTAATGAATATCCTATCAACCAAAATAGGCTAGGATCAGATGAATTCACACAGCCAAATTCTACCAGGTGTACAAAGAAGATGTGGTACCATTCCTACTGAAACTACTCTTAAAAAATTGAGGTGGGACTCCTCTCCCAACTCATTCTACAAGGCCAGCATCATCCTGGTACCAAAACCTGGCAAAGACATAAAAAAAAAAAAAAAAAAACTTCAGGCCAATATTGATGCAAAATCCTCAACAAAATACTTGATTAACTTCGATGCAAAAATCCTCAACAAAATACTTGCAAACTGAATCCAACAGCACATCAAAAAGTTAATCCACCACAATCAAGTAGGCTTTATCCCCGGGATGCAAGGTTGGTTCAACATAAGCAAATCAATAAATGTCATTCATCACATAAACAGAACTAAGACAAAAACCACATCATTATCTCAATAGATGCAGAAAAGGCTTTTGCTAAAATTCAACATCCCTTCATGTTTAAAACTATCAATAAACTAGGCATCAAAGGAATAAGAGCCTCAAATTAATAAGGGCCATCTCTGACAAACTCACAGACAACATTATACTGAATGGGCAAAAGCTGGAATCATTCCTCTTGAAAACCAGCACAAGACAAGGATGCCCTCTCTCACCACTCCTATTCAACACAGTATTGGAAGTCATAGCCAGAGCAATCAGGCAAGAGAAAGAAATAAAGGGCATCTTAATAGGAAGAGAGGGAGTCAAATCATCCCTGCTTGTAGGCAATGTGATTCTGTATCTAGAACATTCCATAGTCTTGATCCAAAACCTCCTTCAGCTGACAAACAACTTCAGTAAAGTTTCAGGATATCCAGTTATGTCTAACTGTGAAAAGACAAAATAGAAAACGTGTGAAGAGGGCATTTATGTCCTCTGTCACCTTCTTAGCGGCTCCTATGGGCAAAACACAGGACTGAAGCTATCTATGACCACCTCAGGAGTTCCCATAATTCCCCATGTTACAATTCCTTTTACACAAAACTGAAGAATTAACTATAAAAGAACCAGTATCATGACTGCTTAAAGAAAAAAGACCGTAGGTTCTTCTAACCCTTATTCCTGGGTCCATGGTAGGGTTACTGAATCCCATATTACTGAATATAGTTTTATCATTTCACTCATTTAACAAATATTTTGAGGATAATATTTATAAGCAAAGTTCAAAGGATTTTCAAATAAATGCAACGTAATAAATGTGTATCTTCCTGTCAAAAATATTAGAACCTTTTAAATCTAAACGGGTAAACATCCCTACTCCCTACCCTGGTTAAGGCCACTTGACCTCTAAATTACTTTAATGTCTCCTCTCCTAAATCTTGGCTAAGCAATAACAGTTCCTTTGAGGTCAAGTCTTTAGTCTTCTGCTCAGCCAAAGGAGACTGAATGTTGCCTTGAGAAGAATATAATATAAATATAGACAGTAAGATTTGTTAGGGAAAGTGGCTGGGGCTTAAAAAAAAAACAGAAAAAAGTAAAAGGAGGGATTCTCTTTTATCTCCTCTTAACTATCATCAAAATCAGTCTCTATCAAGAAATCAGGGAAAAAGCTATTAGCTCAATTCCACTTAATCAAGTCACTTCCATCCTACTTCAGGTAAGATTTGCCTAAATCAAAAATCTGAACAATTCTTTCTATAGTTTTTCCCTGCCTGACTAGTCCTAAATACATGTTCAAATCCATCTATTTGTGACTTTTTTCATGTATAGCAGGCTCTGAAACTGCCTGCTAGGCTAATAGTACCTGAGCAGACTATGGCATTGTTGAAGACTTTCCTGGAACCTGGCCAAACACATCAGTGGCTCCAACCTGACTATCAATGGGCCAGGGAAGTTTCTACTACACAAAACAACTAACGGAATCAGAAGACTCAAGATTTTGCATATAATTGCAACAAGTCAAGCATTTTTTAAACATTAGGTTATATTAGAAATACTGTCAATAACAATCTTTCAACCCAAATTTACTGATCATGCAGTGGGAGTAAAGTACACATTGACAGAGTATATTTACAAGGAAGTCCATCAGTCATAAAGGAGTAGCAACCCTTCCAATTTGTAAATTCAGAGCTACAAAACAGATCTTCACGGGTATGTGCGTGCGTACACACACACACACACACACACACACACACACACAATAAATGGTGGACTCCTACAGCCAAATAATTCTTCAAGTGTTTTTATTTCCAAAGAAAAGGGTTTGTTGTTGTTGTTTTGTCTCTTTTTTAGTTCTTTCTTGCTGTTTGAATGTAAAGGAACCTAGTCTGTTGCTAAAATAATTTGCTTTTCCAAATAAAACCAGAAGAGTAAAAACAAGATTGTGGTATTTATTGTTGTTTTTTAAAAATGTGTGGTAATTCAGGCCAGGCACGGTGGCTCACACCTGTAATCCCAGCACTTTGGGAGGCCGAGGCAGGCAGATCACCTGAGGTCAGGAGTTCAAGACCAGCCTGGCCAACATGCTGAAACCCCATTTCTACTAAAAATATAAAAATTAGCTGGGCATGGTGGTAGATGCCTGTAATCCCAGCTGCTCAGGAGGCTGAGGCAGGAGAATCACTTGAACCCAGGAGGCGGAGGTTGCAGTGAGCCAAAATCATGCCACTGCACTCCAGCCTGAGCCACAGAGAGAGAGATTCCATCTCAAAAAGAAAAAACATGGTAATAAAGCCTTACAAATCAAACAATTACAGCTTTCTCATCCTACCACACACACCAGTATGTTCACAAATGTTATAATAATACCCTTATGCATTAACAACCATTTATAATGGCTAGAAATTGATTTGTCTTTTAATTGCTTTAAAAGTGTTATCAAGATTGAAAAGCAAAATTTTTTCAAGTTAAAGGGGCAATGGACCACAAAAATCTGTAGAAAAAACAGATTATACACTGCATTTAAAAGTAGAAACTTATTTCCAAATTTTGTCTTCTCATAGTCAGGCAATAAACAATCTTAAGGCTTTATAAATGGAAACATATTAATAAAGGGAATTTTATTTGGATTTCATAGGCTTGAAGTAGTAGAAAATCTCCATAGGTTAAAGTAATTTGACTATCAATTAACATAGTTCAAACATAAATTCTGAGGCAAAACAAAGGATAGAATATTCCAGAAATCTCTGGTCTTCCTAAAACTCTTTCAGGAATTCAAATTTCCAAAATAATCTATCCCAAGACATTGCCCTCCTTGAACTCTCTCCTCTTTTCTCTTTGATGACAATATTATCCCCAGATTTTTCTCCTAAAACCCTGGGCATCCTTCTCAGTTGCTTTGTTAGCTCCTCTTTCTCTGTCTACCTCCTAAGTACTTGTACTCCCCAGAGTTCAGTCTTCAGCCATTATCATGCCTCACTTTACTCATTCTATTAATTCCAAACATCTCCATGGCTTCAGCATCCACTTATATCCTAAATCTGAATCTCCAAACAAGATCACTGTTTTGAAGTTTAGATAGATTCATATCTCCAAGTGGATGTCCCATGGCATCTCAATTCAATATGTCCAAAATATAATCCATTATCTTTTCACTGGACCTGCTCATCCTCATGCATTTCATGTCTTAGCTAAGGGTATTAAAGTTCATCTAGAACAGTGCCTGGTCATTAATACAAAATTTAGTAAACAAATGAAACTAGTTGGTTGATCAACAACTATTAGTTGAGAACATTAATATAGCCAGACACTGGGTCAGGTGCTAGGGAATATATACATACATATATATATATATATATGTACATATATTATATGTATATTTGTATATATATGTATATATTATATGTATATTTGTGTGTATATATATATACACACACACACACACACAAGAAAGACACTCTGCTCTTGTGGGGTTCAGCTTAGTGAAGAAGACAGCCATTAAATAATTACACGTGTAATTAATTTTTTCTATTAATTACACATGTAATTACAAAGGCAATATAACCTGTCCAATCACCCAAACCAGAAAAGTCAAAAATAACATCAATATTTTTCTTTCCTTTACCATCAATTTCCAATTAGCTCCCTATTCTTACTGGTTCCATTTATGAAATTTTTCTGATTTATTTATTGTTCTCCATCATTATTGTCTTGCTCAATACAAGGCTTCAGCATCTCGTTTCTTCAACTGGTCTCTCTGACAGCAACATCTCCTCTTATGGCCCAATCATGACTCTGTTATCTTTCTATAGTACAGTTGTGATAGTGCCACAATCCTCCTAAAAAACATTTAAAGGCCCCATTTGGCCTGAAGAATAAAGCCCCAAATCCATATTTTCATGGTTATCACAGTCCAGCCATCACTTGACTTTTCATATTCAGTATATTCTCTCTCAATCCCCTGTGCCCTGGTCTCTAGCATATCACACCTTCATTCTCGGAGATCTTCCTTTCTAATACCTGGTCTCAGAAAAATAAAATTGGCTTGAAGACACTGGAATCCTGATTGAAATAGGATTCTGGAGTCCTGGCCAGATCATATGAATGAAACTCCTCTTGCTTTAAGCTGAAATAGGTCAAGGACGGCGTAGTTACAAGAATAGTGTACTTTGAGAGTGCCAGGAGATAGCTCAAGTAAGGTCAATCATCTAAAATGGATCAGTACCAACCAGGATTCAAAGACAAAACCAGACAAGACAAAGATCAAAGGTTGGAGAACAAAAAAATATCTGAAGCAGACAACAAGGAAATGGAATCACAAATAACTTCAAAGTTGATTGACAGATGACTTGCATAAATTTTTAAAAATCTGGTTCTCACAGTTGCTAATATTAATATACTAGGAAATCTAATCAGCTCAAATTTATTCTTTCAAGGTTCTTCTCAGTGAAAACTGTCCATACTCAAACCTCATTCCATTTCCTAATTCTTTGCTCCATAATGTTTCCATTGTCTTTTGCATATGCTTCCATTATAACAACTGGCATGCTCAATCATAATTACTTCCATGTCTGTTTACTCAACTAAAATAAAAGCAGCATAAGGGTAGGGGCTATGTCTTATGCATCCTTTTATCCTCAATAAGAACATATAGTAAGTTGTTAAATTAATTAACAAATGAGCAAATGAGCACGGTGGTCCTAACTAAATGGCACCTAATAAATAAAAATATGCTATTAAACTTAGAAATTGACTTTGGGAGCCTGTTGCTTTTGACTACAGAATAGTTTGGGTACAGGATGAGAAACTTAAATACTTTTTCTAGGTTTTGACTTAAAAACTCAGAAGTAGAGTAAAAAAATTCCAATAGCCCAAGAAAATGCAAATAAATACAAGCAGAAAAACATCAGAATACCCATATGATGTTTTACCCTGGTATCCAGCCATATCACACCTTCATTCTCTCAGATCTTCCCTTCTAATACCTGGTCTCAGAAAAATAAAATTGGCTTGAAGACATTGGAATCCTGATTGAAATAGGATTCGGGAGGCGTAGCCAGATGATGTTTGTTTTGTTTTGCTTTTAAATAATTAGGTCCTAGTGAGGCAATAATATAATAGACCTTCTACTCAGCAGTTTATTTCTAGGCATTGATAGCTTAATAGCTGAAATTTCCCCTCCCTCACTCCTGAAATAAAATATACAACATAGACATTTGCAATATACATATAAAATGTATAATATGCGATGGTGCATTTACTGATGGGAGAAATTCTTGCTCAACAATAGCCCTGAGACTAGAAACTTAAGTGTAAATATAATTCAAAATTGTGTTTCATACATCTTTATTAATAAATAAAATCATTCTTCTCTACTTTAACCAATAATCAATTTAATGAAATAGTTATATTACTTGAATAATCATAATTATTATCTGCTCATTCTCTCAAAATCTTCTTGACAGCATATATAACTGAAATTCTATAATCCTTATGGGACCTAATTCAATGCCAACTACTATATGGAAATGCAATATGAATTTGATAACACAAATAATTTGGTTGAATTATATGACCTCAACAGCCCCTTCTGGACAAAAATTCTATATTATTACAATTATTTTAGATTAGAGACAAGCATAGTGGAACATGAATTTCAAAATGAGAAATGTCAGTCTACTATATGCCAAGTCAGCTAAATTGCCCTTGAAATGTATAGCCATCTCCCAGTAAGAATTAGCAGTCAACACACTTAACTTTCTACGCAAACTGTGTTCTCAGCCTTTTACCTATTCCCACCTTGTATCAATTCCACTTCTCTTAGGAGCTTGCCCTTGCTTCTTCTTCTCTTGAATCTGTTACTGCTACCTCTCCTCTGGTTTCTTTCCCAAGCTACTACTTGTATTCAGCCCTTGAATCTGAATCCAGTGAAATCCCAGCCTGATCCAACTTGCCATAAAAGACCCTACCCTTTGCCTCTGCTGATCTATGTGGCCAGCTCTGCTAACAAATTTGGCCTTACCATACAAGAAGGAAATGTGCAAAATAACTTGCCAAAGGTCATGAAGCAGATGGGGTGTAGAACTATGTGTTTAAAGTATGAGACAGTATGATGTTACAAAAAAATTGATTAAACTTAAAGCCAAATGACAGATTTGAATCCTACCTCTGCCATTTAATGGCTGAGTAAATGAATCTGGTCAAAAGGCGAGACTGTATGACCTGCAAGGAGCTCTCTCAACTCAATACTGTTTATTATAAAAACTTTCAATCACATACAAAAGTATAAAAGCAGTAAAACGAATCCCATGTGTCCATCAGCCAACTCAAAAACTGTGAACATTGGCCAATTCTATCTCATCTACTCTCCAGCCAATACTTTTTTCCTAAAGCAAACCCTAGGTATCATGTAACTTCATCTGAAAACATCACTGTTGTACTTTAATAATATAAATCTATTGATATCACACCTAACAAAATTAACACTCATTCCATAAAATCACTTACTACCCAATCATTTTCAATTTTCTAAGATTGCCTCAAAAACGCCTTTTAAACTTTTCATCGTTGATTTCTTCCAAACAGGATCCAGATAAAATCTATGCATTCTATGACATTTTTATCACATAAAAAGAAAGTTAGTTAATTCTGTGGTTTACTCCATTCAATACAAACCTCTAAAACTGTGCTTTTCAATATAATAGCCACTAGTCACACATGACTATTTAAACTGAAATTTACATTAATTAAAACTGAATAACATTAAATATTCAGTTTCTCAGTCATACTAGCCACATTTCAAGTGCTTAATATCTACATGGGCTAGTAGCGATCATATTGTACTGTAAAAATACTGAGTATTTCTCTCACCAGTAAAGAAGTCATATAGTACATATTTTACATAACTGCAGGAAATTCTATTGGCTAATGCTGTCTTAGATCCCACAGAGATTTACCTATGTATCAGTCAGACTGCCGCCCACTTCATAGAACTTAGAAAACAAGTCTCACTGTAAACCGAAGATGCCGAATCACTGGGGACTCTCAAGAGTCATCTAAGACCAACTAGCCCATTCCTGGTCCTTAGACTTGGTTCCTCAAGAAGGGAGACCAACAGCCCAGAACCTACAGGTGGGCTATCCTTCCAAAGTTCATTTGTAACTCATTTTAATCTTGAAATAATTTTATTTAGGTTCCCAAGCTACCCTTAAAGCCTCAATTGACTCAAAATATAGCTGTAATTTTATACAATGAACACTAGGAAAAATTATTATTGCTATTGTGGGCAGGGCAGGAAACCAAATAATTGGTTTAGTACGCATAGTATAATTTCTATGTGCATAAAAGTGTTCCTCACAGTAGAGAAGATGAGAAGACAGTGTCATTGGAAACATGTCTCATTTCTCTCTCCCCTTTCTCCACTTCTACCATGGCAGAGAGTAAGTAACAAGGAAGAAAGAACAGAATGTGGGAGGACACTTCTTGTGCTTCAGGACAGCCCTCCCCAGTCTGAGGTAAAACAGCCAATCATACATATAAGATATTTGTAAGTAAGTCATTATAAATAAGAACCACAGTCCAACAAAGGCAATTCCTTATAATTTATTTAAGCTAAGCAACATAAAGCCTTTGCCTGATTACTCCCTCTTACATCACAGTCGCACAAGGAAGGAAAATTTATATAATGTAGGGTTGATGCAGGTCTTTCAAATCTCAACAAAGAAAAAAATCATAGACTAAATGATTACTAGATTTGACTATAATTATTTTTTAAATTATGTATGCCAAAAAACACTGCAAACAAAATCAAAGTACAAAAACTAGGCAAAATATTTGTAACATACAAAACAAAGTGCTCACATCCTTAATAAATAAAAAATCTCATAAACCAGTAAGAAGTGAGTACCTTAAGGGAAAAATGAACAAAAAACAAGGATAAGTAATTTATGAAAGAAAAAATGGACACAGCTAAGTAGACAGGAACATTTTCTAGCTTCACTGATAATCAAACAAATACAAGTCAAAACAAAGAGATAATTTTTTCTTATCAAACAAGCAAAAAAACCAATTAATTTTAAGTAGTAATTTCTAGCACTCATTCTTAGAGGAAGGCCTGCTAGAGGGAGTAGGGCTATTGGCATCTCTAATGTAGAACTAGCATCTTTCCAGCTCCCAAGCGAGAATAAGTACAATACACTTGAAATAAGTCTTCATCCCACTGAAAATGTGAACTGCATCACATAAATATAAAATATCATTCCCAATAGTTATGGCAGATAATTTTATTAACAGGATGAACATGAAAAACTGAAAAATTTGACTTTTTATATAATAATACTTTATCTCTATTATAGTTTACATTAAGCTATTTTAAAGCCTTTTTAGTTTGCTAGTCTGCAATCTTCTCTGCATTGCTTCTTAGCATTGACTCATTAAGTATTCTTCATCTGATTCAAGGCAAAATATGCTTCTGATCAAATATGCACTCACATGCTCTTTGGCAAGCTACAAACCAAATTAGAAAAATCATAAATCTGGTGCTAAACGTTCTGGAGGAATAGTATATGCTATACCTTCTTTATCAAAAAAGCACACATATGGATTGCAATATGTCAACAAACGGCGTCTGTGACTTTTCTCACTCCTAATTTAAAAATCACAGAAAGATCAATAAAATAAGCTATACTACTATATTTGGATTAATAACTAACAAACCTAGCTTCTTACTTCTCAAATGGAAATCATTCAAAAATACTTTTAAAGACACTCAAAATGTGTACTTGAAATGTACATTTTAATAACTATATCTGCATAAAAGTTAAAAATAAATACATCTGATATCCCAAGGCTGATACCAATTTTAATATCACTAACCACTTGCACAATATGGTTCTCCAAACAAAGTTTGCTGTTATGAAGCCAATAAAATCATTCTATCACTTTAAATATGTACCTTGATTTAAGAAAATCTTCAGTTTCCCTACTTAAATCAACATAACAAAATGGATCAATTATCACAAACCTTTAAACATATATGTAAAATGCATGTTTATGCCATGGTTTTGTCATTTTATTCTACAATCGATTATTCTGAAGGTTCTTAATAATCACAGCACTAATGTCCAATAAATCATGCATATAATAAACAAAATTCTTTTTGTAATTCATAGGAATCAGGGTCTTAAAGTACAATACTGTATATCATCATTTAGTAAAATTAACAAATAGAATTTTGAAAATGAGATTTAGGTATTTATGAGATATACAAAATAATAAATTTTTCTATGCAAATAATAAAATGCATTAATCAGAATTCTCAACAGAAGACTAAATTACCCCCCAAAATCTGAAAAAAGTCCTATCACAATTACAGTACCTATACAAAAGATTCAAAGCCCCCTCAAATATATTTTAAAAATGGTTAACAAACATTATCTTTTTAAAAATTCAAATTATTGTTATTCATTAAATTTGTATTTCAGGATCACCACCTGCAAAGTTCTGGGCTATGCATGATAAAGAGGAGAAAGATGCAGTGGACATCTTTCTGAGACTTATAAAGGAAGAAATGATCTAACAGCAAGGATAATACATACACATCCCCAAACCACAGAATTTCAAAGCTTGAAGAGATGCTCATGTTTATTTAACCCAACATATGTAACTACTTATTATAAAACCTGTGTTCAAAACAGAAAAAAAATTTCTTTCTGATTTATCAAAAGTATATTAAATGAGTAGGAGTTTTCTCTTCTTTTGAATTTTTCCACTTGTGAATTGTCCCTGTATGCCCTTTAACCACTTTTCTTTTGTAGTGTTAGTTTCACCATGAACAAAACAGATATATGAACACAAATATCCATCATCTATCACGCTGTAAATATTTTACCTATTGTAATTTGTCCTTTCACATTAATAGTTAGTTTTTTTGTAATGTCTTCTGGTTTTTCTTTTTGATGCAGAAAAACTTACAGATCATCCCTTCATAGTTTCTATTTGAGGCCATTTGTAGAAAGATTTGAGGATCACCAGTGTTTTCATCTACTAGTTCTACAGCTTCACTTTAAAAATGTAATTATTCAGTCTATTTAGGATTTTATTCTGGGGCACACTATGAAATAAGGCTTCAATTTAATTCATTTTCTTATGTTTACAACATTAAAATTGAATGGAGACACCAAAAAAGAAAAATTTTTTTAAGGAAAGAAAATCGAAAATCACATACAAAACTGAGAACCATCAGTCCAGCCTCACAAGCCACTGCAACTTTCATGACCAGAGAATAACTGACCAGCATCTGCAGAGTTCTGAAGATAAGAAACCACAGCTAGAGAGCAGTCTGCATAAGCAAGATGTCTGTATACCACATAACAGAAGACATCCGTAACACAAAATGGTCACCCAGGAGACCTGCCTGGAGGATTCTACTTGATGGAATCTAGACAGTTAAAATATGAGTCACAGTTAAAATTCTGGGTTAGAAAAGTCAAGGTAAAAAAATTATGGTGAGGACTAATCCAGTTAAATATAGAATTAGAATTAAAACAACTATAGGACTTATTACAAAATTAAGTCCATGTAAATGTTATAAAGTTTGATAAAATAAAAATACCATTGTAACAAACAGAAATAGGAAAGGGAGGAAGGTGGAGTATACGTAAGCATCTTTCAAAACAGATCAATGTATATGGTCTAAACAGAAACATGTATCCTAAAACCATAACTCTAAACTTGTTAATTTTTATCATAATCTCTTTTCTTAACTTCAGACAGATCTTCTACCATATCTACTATTGTGTGTAGTAAAGAAGCACTTATTTCAAAGTTCTACAATTTGATTAGGTACCTTTAGTTTCTTTTCCTTTTTATAAATGTAGGTAAAAGGATTTTAATATTTTTTATTTAAAATAACAGGCATACAAAATTGACAAATGGGATCTAATTAAACTAAAGAGCTTCTGCACAGCAAAAGAAACTACCATCAGAGTGAACAGGCAACCTACAAAATGGGAGAAAATTTTTGCAATCAACTCATCTGACAAAGGGCTAATATCCAGAATCTACAATGAACTCAAACAAATTTACAAGAAAAAAACAAACAACCCCATCAAAAAGTGGGCAAAGGATATGAACAGACATTTCTCAAAAGAAGACATTTATGCAGCCAACAGACACATGAAAAAATGCTCATCATCACTGGTCATCAGAGAAATGCAAATCAAAACCACAATGAGATACCATCTCACACCAGTTAGAATGGCGATCATTAAAAAGTCAGGAAACAACAGGTGCTGGAGAGGATGTGGAGAAATAGGAATGCTTTTACACTGGTGGTGGGACTGTAAACTAGTTCAACCATTGTGGAAGACAGTGTGGCAATGCCTCAGGGATCTAGAACTAGAAATACCATTTGACCCAGCCATCCCATTACTGGGTATATACCCAAAGGAATATAAATCATGCTGCTATAAAGACACATGCACACCTATGTTTATTGTGGCACTACTCACAATAGCAAAGACTTGGAACCAACCCAAATGTCCAACAATGATAGACTGGATTAAGAAAATGTGGCACATATACACCATGGAATACTATGCAGCCATAAAAAAGGATGAGTTCATGTCCTTTGTAGGGACATGGATGAAGCTGGAAACCATCATTCTCAGCAAACTGTCACAAGGACAAAAAACCAAACACCGCATGTTCTCACGCATAGGTGGGAATTGAACAATGAGAACATTTGGACACAGGAAGGGGAACATCACACACCAGGGCCCATTGTGGGGTGGGGGGATGGGGGATAGCATTAGGAGATATACCTAATGTAAATGACGAGTTAATGGGTGCAGCACACCAACATGGCACATGTATACATATGTAACAAACCTGCACATTGTGCACATGTACCCTAGAACTTAAAAGTATAATAAAAATATATATATATATTAAAAAATAAAATAACAGGCATAGTATGATCAGCAGATCAATGGGGGGAAAGAAGGAAGGGAAGGAGCGAAGAATTAGAAAGGGAAGAAAATTCTATTTCTGGTTATCTAATGTATTGTGGTTATTTGAGGGGTAACTTTTTAATCCCTCTTTTGCATTTGAATTTTTTATAGTGAACATATATCATTATAAAAAATAGTGATTTTTTTCTCTCATAAAAAATCAAATAAAAAGTAATAAAGACAAGAAATCAGGCTTACAAGAGCATTATACAGCTTTTGGAAACTAAAAAATAAGTTTGATCCACAAACAACTCTCTTGGATATCAAAGTTAAGAGTTCACAGATTTCAGCCCAAGGTGTGAGTTCTCTGGGATCTTTTAACTTCTCATAAACTGAGTCATGAGGCGGAAGTCTACTTTGTATTTTAGTGCCCAACTAAAGCTCTGTGCATATTTAGGAAGTCTGGTCTCCTGAGTGAACAAATCTAATGACCTCTCCTCAGTTCCCATACTGTCCCCTACAACAGTTGATTCTGCGATGGCACCCTCTTTTATACTCTGGGCAAAGGCCTTGCACACAGCAAGAATGCAAATATTTGCTGATTGAGGAACAAGGCATTCCCCTGACCACTCTCATCTCTGTCAGAGTTTGTGCAGGCTCCTTCTGTCTCTTATTTCTTACCTTAGCCTCCTATATGTAGTCTTCCACCAAGGTTAGGCTCTCATTTCATTTCTCTTCTTAGTCTATACACTTTCTCTGAAATATATCATCGATTCTCAAGTTGTAGCTCTGACTTTTCTTCGGCTCCAAATCCAAAATTTAAAGTATGTGCTACATATTTCTATAAGATTGCCTTCAGGATCTCAAATCTGACATGCCAAAATGGAATTATCTTCCCCCCTATGCCTGTTTCCCATCCCACTCCCCTAGCTGTTCCTTCCCTTACATCTATGGAGGCAATGGCAACACCATTCCTGCTTCCTGGTCACATAGTCACATAGACTGAAAATTTGAGAGCTATCTTCAACTCCTTTTTCTGCCTTGTGTTTAAATATTTTATACCTTTGTAATGTCTCTGATGCACATTCCATCCTTCCTATCAACACTGACATCATATAATGCAAAAACAGCATAACATGATAAAAAGAATATCAGGCTTAGACTCAAACAACCTAGAATTTGAGTACCACCTCAGCTCTGACTATGCTATGAGACCTCATATACATATTACTTGACATTTTCAATATATATCTTCAAATCATAGGATTATCTTGAGGGATATATACACACACATATACATGAGATATATACACATGTTATACATACATATATACACATATATACATATATGATATGTACATAAATATTATATAAGAGCAGTATTATTGCATATACTGTGTGTATATATATGCACATATATATAGGTGTCTAGGGTTCTCTGTAGATACACAAATATGTATGCATGTGTATATATATGTATACTCGCAAATACAAATGAAAGGTATTACTACAACCATTACTCTTATTATTATCCACGATGATATAATGTCTGACCTTACCTAGTATAAAAATGTCTAATCTTTAATCTCTCAGTTCTCCAGGCAAGCTTTCACACTGAAACAAGTATTATTTAATCAAAACATTATTTGTTTCCTCGAAATGGTGTGCAGTTTGCTCTCCTCTGACAACAGAATAAACTCAAAAGCACTTAGCACGGATTTCAAGGTGCTCCATTATCTAACTCTACCTTAGCATTCTGACCTCACCTCCCAGTACATAACCCCTCTATCAACCAGGTTCTATCTAGCCTCAGGCCTAGAATTGTCTTGCTCTAAGTATACCCTGCATTCATGCTGCTCCATTCAGTCTAGAATTTCCATTTTTGGAAACCTCTTATTCAAAGTCCAATTCAAATGTCACCTTCTCCATAATATCCCTATTTGTTTTTTATTAAGAATTAGCCCATATTCTACCTTTATTATCCTTCTGCATTGTAAACAGAGGATATTTACATTTCTTTCTCTCCAACTAAATTATAAATTATTGAAGAATAGAGACTGTGGAGTATTCACCTTTGACTCTCCATCACGCATCAAGTCTTATAAACAGTAAGCATTTACTGAATGTTTATAGAATTAAATTGCATAATAAAGCCCCTCAAGTCTTTTAATTTCAGAGAAGTTAAAACTATACAGTAAAAATGTAAAATCAACAAATTATTCATTGTAGACATTTTTTAATGCAAGTGAAAGAAAATATTTTTAAAATACATTGTAAGCTTTAAGGTAAACAAAAATATTGTTTGGTGCTCCCTCTGCTGGCTTTGCAGAAGCAACTTAAGAATGTTGAACAATAACACCACAAAGAAGTAAACATCAATTCAGCTTAGCTGCTCCCTTTATCTCCTGCAAACACCCAGAGTAGAAACTTTCCACTGAGTTCTTTTGGAAATAATCCTACATGTAAAAAGGTTTGTCTATGAAATTTGTTTACAGGGACAAAACTGATCTTAAAATTTTGCTGATAATAATCCTGTCAGAATTCTTGTTTATACCTTTGTTTTCTAACTAAACCACCGACTTTATGTATAAACAGTTTTAATTTTTAGCTGAAACTGTTGAGAAGCAAAGTAGAATAAGATCTTTTTGCTTTCTATTTAATCTATATATATATTTTTAAAATTGATTAGGAACATAAGAGGTTAAATTCTTCTTGTGTTCCTAAACAGAGTTATTCTGAGTACCCTGAAGGCATTTAATTCCAAAACAGGAAGCCAGAGAGAGGAACACTTGGTTACACTAATGTTATGCAGATCTTTTGGAACATATTTTCCTAAACACTTGCTGAAAGAACCTTTTCTATACTGCATGCTATCACATGAAGTTGGAGAAGGGTCCCACGGATACCACAGTACACTGACTGCTCAAATTGCCCCTTATTACTTCTCTATTTTTCTCCACTTATCTTACTTTAAAATGGCCATCTGCTTGCTCATAGAAGGGGGTAGGAAAATCAGGTGGGGGTCAGGGAATGTTTATTCATACACTATAGTTTAATTGTTTTGCATAAATGTGTATAAGAGCTATGATATAGCTTATGATAGTCCATTGTTAAGAAAATGATACCATAGTAAGATTAACCTGAGACCAGCAGAGGCTGTTAAAGATTGGTGTCCTTTCTAATAAATTCTTGTTTTATATGCTTTTAGCTCTACTATAAAACCTCTGTAATCTAAAACATGTTAAATGAGATCTCACCCTGGTAAATGAAACAAAGAACAATGGTAAACCACAGGCAAGTGGAAAAGGCAGTGGATTCATGCAGTTCAGAGGTGTGCATGCTGGAGCTACCTCTGTTACTGAGCAAATCACATAACACTGTAGGGCTCTATTGCCCAACCTCTCAAATACGGCTTCATACCACTAGAGATGAGCAAGCTGCTATGATCCCGTGACTAAACAAGTGAACTAGAAAGGTCCACTTTAAGTTACTGAGGTAAAAGATGGTAAAATAACACCAAGGTGGGTATATTTTTCATACGCTGTTTGATCTTATACACCATTTCAATGCCATTTTTAAAAATAGCTCTTTTTCTTACTTTCTTAGTTAAATGCAGTTATGTTTTAAAGAAAGTAAATGATTACTGAGCAATTACCCTCTATGCTGGAAATTAAGGTTTCATGCACATTCTTGATTATCCATAAAAATGAAGTCTTGTAATATTAAATGCAACAGTTTAGTCAGAAGAAGCCAAATAGGAAAAATAGTCAATATATTTGATTTGATTATAGTTACTTTCAAACAATGTATAACAAAATTAATTCTATTCTTAATTTTTAGACACTAAAAATTGTTATTGAAATCAGGTATTTGAAAGTCAAAATTGTATTTTTAGTCCATTCTGCATAGCTTGGAAATCATTTTTTCCTTAAGAAATCTCCATGTGAACAAGAACAAGGGTTTAGCCACTGCAGTAAGCTACTATTGGCATTCTTGTGCCGAGATTCTTGACTGTTAGCCTCTGCAACTGACAAAATCAAAGCCTGGCTGGTGACTGGGTGCCACTCTGTTAGGTGGGTGCCATAGGACAATGGCAGCCAGGCACAAAGGAGTGGGGAGAAAAGAGTCAGAGTACAGAAGGGTATTCCCAGACTCCCTCTGACTCATTCAGTAAATGGCAACCTCTAAAATGCTGAGCTTCTGTTTTTGAGCAGAGCTGTCAAATCATTAGATTTGTTTTTGGAATTTCAATTCATGAATATGTCCTCTAATGTTCAGAGGGCATTCTCACTGAAATATACAGTTACATATATGACTGCAGCAAAGAAATTCTTACATCCCAAAAGATTTAACAGCAATTCTTCATCAAACAATGATTCATTCCACTTTAAATTATCAAATGCTCTATTCCAAATGATACAACAAGGTTTCAGAGCTGTAAATTAGCTGGCAGACAATATCTAAAAAGACATTTTGAAGTGTGGAAAAAAATATTCAGAAAATGTGATTCATTTTCATTTAACATAATATAAACCCAATGATGAATGAACACAGGAAATTTACGATGTGGTTTATTGCAAAAAGGAAACAGTAGTATCCAATAAAATCTATGCTTTTTGCATTCCTTACAGTAATCAATTTACCCTATTAACCAATACCAGTACAGCAAATTACTGAACAAGTTCTGTAGAGAAGAAAGCCATTAACCAGGCTCCCGCTTTGTTGACGTCATTATGTGCAAGTGTGTGGTAACATCAAACACTGACATTGTTAGGTGTTCGCCACAATAACTCAGTGATTTCTAGATGGATGCAGCATAAACTGATCACAAAACCAATTCAACTATGTTACATTTATTTCAAAACACCTATAACATCAACAAATACTAGACACTTTGAAACAAAAATACATTTAAATGAATATAACTTTATATTCTAGATGTTTTTCCCCTGGAAAATAATAACAAAAGACCTTGTATATGACAATTCAATATAATCTCATATATAGGTTTAACAATAAAGCTTAAGTTGTCTCCCCCTTAAATCAGTAGGTCTCTAAAGGTATTATTTATCAGATCCTTGCTGGACAGATAATTTAATTAAATAATGGTGTTTAAGAAAAAACTATTGAGTTTTAAATTATTGTAACTCTCTGCTCTTTCTCTTGCCTTCAGCTAATCCCAATATGACAACCAAAACCAGTACAGAATCTGGTCAGTTAACATTACTACTTAATTTACCTATAAAATCGGATGTTAAATCAGTTGTTTGAATAGTGTTCAGAAAAACAAATTAGTTGTATCAATTTTTTATATTAATAACTTATAATTGCACAAAATTTCATCTAAAACTGAAAAAAAAAAGTATTTTAGCATGACCTAAAAACTGACAGTTAATTTTCAAGAGAGAAGATGAGAAAATTCCAGTATGGAGTTCACCTACTTCATTCACCCTATGGAAAGATAACAAACTCTTTCAGAACTATTTGGCAAGTGGGAACATAAATTATTACAATTACCTTAGAAAACGGTTGGGCAGAATCTATTAAAGGTAGACATATGCATACACAAGGACCCATTAATTCCACTCTCAGGTATAACACAAGAGAAATATGTACAGATGTTCGCCAAAAAAGATATATAAGAATGTTCATACCAGTACTTTTCATAATAGCCAAAAAATGGAAGGAACATAAACATCTATCATTTTGTAGAATGTATAAACAAAACATGGTATATTTGAACAGTGGAACTAGATACAACAAGCAGAATGAGCAAATAACTACATGCAACTCTGATGAATTTTACAAACAAAAGAAGACAGACATGAAAGAATATGTATGATATATTTATCTAAGGTTAAGAAGAAAGAGGAAAAATAAATTGTAGTGTAACAAGTCAATCTGTAGTGACTGTTGGGGGCAGGTAGTAACTGAAAATGTCAAGAGAGAGTCCTGAGTGCTGGTAAAGTCCTGTTTCTTCATCTGGGAATTGGTTGCACGAGTGGGATCACTTTGTGAACACCCACCAAGCTTTTTAAAACACTTGTAGGCAGAAGCTGTGGAGAACCACTGAAGCCCACCCAAGGCATACATTCATAACTGAGTATGGGTTTCTAAAGGAAACCCACCCAAGGCATACATTCATAACTGAGTATGGGTTTCTAAAGGAAACCCACCCAAGGCATACATTCATAACTGAGTATGGGTTTCTTAAGTCCCTGGGGGCAGGGGAAACAGGACAAGTGGGAAGCAGCAGGCAGGAGGTAAGACAAGAAATAGACCTGTTAACAAGCCCCAGGTAAGTGGTAGAAAAAGAGATAGAGGGGCACACAGGTTTATGTAAGAGTGAATCCCAAAACTGCAAGCACAGCAAGGAGATGCTAAACTTAGATGTCCATGGAATAAAGGGCTAGGACTTTTGGCTTAATGGGGTCCCTGCTATGTTAGGACTTCATTTTAGAATACAAAAGAAATCAACAATTTTTGATCAATGTGTATCAGATACTGTCATAAAAGCTTTACAAATAAATTATTTTACATTTTACTAGACCAAGAACACAGAAAAAGATCAAAACATATTTATTAAATTTAATTTGTCATAACCCTTACATAATAGGTATTATTGTCCCTGTCTACAAACAAACAACCTGAGCTCCAGATGAGTTATTTGTGCAAAGTTTTAGAAATAAAAAGTGGTAGAAGAAAGTTGGCCCTTTTTTTCCTTAGGGATGAGTTGGGAAGATGGAAGGAAAAAGACAAATAATCAAGTCCCCTTTTTTTAAACTAATCTCCACCCTAAAAAAAATAAATTGTCATCTTTAGAAAACATAACTCAATTCAGTTCAACACAGTGCATATTATATTAGTTAACCATTTCATCTGAGGATCAAGTTAGGATTCCTCAAACTACAAGCATTAAAATTGGGTGAAAATGAGGCTTGGATGCCAATGAAGAGGAGGATTAACCAGCTAGGATCCAACAGTGGTTTACACAAAGCACAGCTGAACTGTAAATGGTTGAATAAGTATTAGAAAGTTAGGGTATCAGCTAAAAACACTGTGAGAAGGATGGTCAAAAGCATGCCTTGAAAATATATATAGTCCAATTTATGTGTGGCTGGTCTTTTTATGTATTGGAAGAGTTATTTAAGTCTTTAAAAGAGCCCAACTCAACAGTGTTTGCCATTGTGTTCTTACTGATACTTGGTTTACCTGTTTGGAATCTTGAAAATGATGTTTCTTTTATCTATGGCATTTTTCTAATTTGGCAAACAATAGATTTTCTCCTTCTGTTTCTATTGGAGTAGACATTCAATAACTATTGTGTTTACTTAATATTATCTGTGTCAGTAAGAATGAGCACAGACCTAGATGTATGTACTGGAGTACTTTCAGTCTACTTACTACAGACTCATGAGGCAGGGAAGGACACAATAGCCTAAAATTTAAAAAGTCATAACTCTAATATGTCTAGATCTCTTAATTAGAGGACTGTGAATACAAATCCAAAATACATACCACACCAACATCTTACTATTTTCTGAAGAAACATATATAATTGAAACACCTCAGGAAAATAAAAATCTACCACAAAGTAAGACTGAGGCTATACATTTCATGTGCCACAAATCTTAAAATGTATCTATGTCACAGCTATACTGAGTGAAATTTGAGTCAACTGATCAAATCTTTCCTGTAACAAATTATTCTATAATAAAAGTCATAAGGCACAGAACTTTATGTATCAGAAAGACTGCTAAGTGTGTGAAGTCAGTATGTGTCCACAGAATCTTATTTCAACAGTGCCTTCCATTAAAAGAATATGCTGGCATCTGCACAATATGAAAACAAGACTTGTGTACTAAGTGTTCACTTTACGGAACATTTGTCATTATTGATTGTAGTAAACAGAAATCTTATTTTATCGAAACCTCTTATAAGAATAGTTAATCAAACTAAAACTCAGCATGGCTTCTGCATAGGTATATTGAAATAGTCTTGGCACATAGTATTGGAAAAAACTACATATCAGGTCTCTTCCTAAAACTTCCCTGATAAGCAATTTACCAGCTGCTTTTGAATGTTCAACAACAGTGACATCAGTACCTCTAAAAAAGCACATTGAATTTGGGGCAGATGAAACTATTAGGAAATTCTTCTCTATATTTAGTAAAATGTAACTCTTTTTAACTTCTACCTACTGATCCATTCTGCCTTCTGAGTTTAGACATGCTATACCAAGCTATTTGCCTCTCAATATCCATTGTCCTCCTTCTTCCCTAATAATAGAATCCTGGGCAATACACCTAGCTAGAAAACTACATTTCCAGCCTTCATAGCAGCCAGGTATGGCCACAAGACCAAGTTGTGGCCAAAAAAGATGAGTAGAAAGGGAATTCTGGAAAGCCTTCTTTAAAAAGAGAAGGCGTGCCCTTCCTCCACACCAAACCCACCCTTCTGCCTGCTGTCTGGAAAAAGGATGTGATTGCAAGAGTCTGAGCAACTTACCACAAGGTGATCTTGAGGATGGAAATAATCATACATGAAGGATATCAGAGTCGGAGTACTCAGTGACTTTATGGAGCTGCTTTACTATCTCCAGACTCTGTTTATATAAGAGAACAACCCTTATGTGTATATTCTTGTTATCCACAACTTAATTAGGAACTTAATTCCTAACTCACATACTGAGACTATGGATAAGTTTTTAATATTTGAAAAGCAACAACACATTTTACCTATAACCTCTCTACTTTAAAAATAACATTTTCAGCTTCCTCACCATCTGAGTCATCCTCTTCTATACAGGTTGAAGCTACTCAGAATCCTTCTTAAATGTTTCAGAATACAGCTCAATGCAATCCACCAGATGTAATCTGACCAGTTCAAAGAACAGGGGAATTATTAACTTCCTTTTTTACCCCATACCAAGACAGCCTTATGCATTAGCCTCTTCAACAGTCCTCTAGACTGAAGACTCATGCTGTGGTTACAGGCAGCCAAAAAAAAAAAAAAAAAAAAAACTAGTTCTTGTTTTGTTTTGTGTATTGGAAGTGCTGTTACACCAGACTTTCCCTGCCTTGTATATTTCAGTCTTTTTTCTCTTTAACATAAGTATAGAACTTTAGGTGATGATCAAGGCAAAAGACAGAGCCCTTCTTTTGCCCAGATCTACACTGAAGATCTCTCTCCTAGTGGGCAAGAAGCAAATGATGAATGCTCTGGGGATGCTAGTTCAACCACCTCTGAATTCCCAAAGATCTTTTTCTCTTTCTAAGAATTCAGGGGCCAACTACTGGGCCATGGGAAGCCCAGCAGGTGGAGCTCAGGAAGCCACCTTCCCCAACTACTACCACCTAGAGAGAGACTGGCAGTATGAGCTGACACAGTGAAGATGGGTACGTATGCAGGGAAAACGTGGGGATGGGGAGGCAGTCAAAACACCACCACCCATTTATATAACAAATACTTAGAAAAAAGAAATCACTGGGCCAGGTGCGGTGGCTCACGCCTATAATCCCAGCACTTTGGGAGGCCGAGGCAGGTGGATCACCTGAGATCACGAGTTCGAGACCAGCCTGGCCAACATGGTGAAACCCTCCCTACTAAAAATACAAAAATTAGCTGGGTGTGGTGGCAGGCACCTGTAATCCCAGCTACTCAGGAGTCTGAAGCAGGAGAATTGCTTGAACCCAAGAGGCAGAGGTTACAGTAAGCCGAGATCACACCACTGCACTCCAGCCTGGGCAACAGAGCGAGACTCCAGCTCAAAAAAAAAAAAAAAAAAAAAAAAAACACAGAAAAAGAAAGAAAGAAATCAGAAATCACTGTCTCTTTAAAAAGAAAAAAAAATCTATTAGTACATTGAGTGTAAGGTGGGAACTTGACTAGTGATTGATTGACAAAGCAGTGTAAATTCCATAACCACCCCATTTGCATAGATATTGATTGCAGTAGGTTCAGAAGACTGATTATGCTGCTTTTCAGATTTGAAATGAATGTCTTTTAGCTTAGGCCTTCAGAAAAACCAAGACTGCAAATGTTAAAGACCTTAAATATGCACATGTAAAAACATATTTATGATTAATGATAATTCATTAAGTGTAATACTATGCTAAATTAATATACAGAGTAAGACTGACTTGTGCTGATGGGATTATCTTGTTTATGATTATTATTATTGACTTTAAAAGAGCTATGTAACTATTTTCTGAACAAAAGGTGCAGTCTAATATACACAATGCCAAACATTGGATATTACCTTCATTGTCACTATTCATTTCCTGTAGGTTCAGTCACTATAAGAGTTCTATGTGTCTATAAATGTAATTCTATTGATTAAAAAATAATATACAGAAATATTTAAATATACATATATTAATGTATTTATTTCTGATTAAAAGATAAAGTAAATATTTTCTCAATAATTATACCAATATCCCTTAAGTTACATCATAACTAAAATTATTCAATAATTAAATTATCATTCCTTTTAATTATTCAATATGTTTATCAATCTTTTATCCAATCGATGTACTTTTTAAAAATTTATCAGGCTACCATGAAATAGGGACAAACCACATCCATTCTTTCCTTTATAGAGGTAAAGTTTTTTCCAACTAAATATTATATTCAAGTTTGGCTGACAAATATCTAGTATCTTTTACAATGAATAATCTGAGAAAATATAAATCTAGGTGAGGTTGCAGTGTGAACCACTCTGATAGCTTTTTCTCTTCCTTTTGGTAGGAAAAGAAAGATTGGCAAATTAGTACAGTTTTGTCTAGCTTTTGGTTCATGGTTCATGTCAGTTCAAGTCCCTGGTTAAATCTAAATTAAATTCAAGATGTAATGCCATTTTATTGATCTTATAAAGTTCATATTTCTATTTTACTTCAATGCTGCCAACAAGTCTAAATGTTGTGGGTGAGTTGGACAAAGACCCATGTAATTGGGTCAGGCTGACTTGTTGTGGATCACTTAAAGAACTATCTATTCAGCAGCACTTGTGAACTCACATTGTTCCAGCAGCTATGACTGTTTCTCCAAATCTTAGTCAATTCTGAATGACCTGAAAATTCTTTACCAGTCCCATTTAGCTAATGGTTTTGTCTTCCAAGTCAAATCAAGTATGGAAGTCTATAAACGATAACCCCTTTGTTTGCAGTGGTAGTTAAAACCAACATGGCCAGGCACAGTGGCTCACGCCTGTAATCCCAGCACTTTGGGAGGCCCGAGGCGGGTGAATCACGAGGTCAGGAGTTCAAGACCAGCCTGGCCAAGATGGTGAAACCGCATCTCTACTAAAAAAACAAAAATTAGCAGGGCGTGGTGGTGGGCGCCTGCAATCCCAGCTACTCGGGAGGCTGAGGCAGAGAACTGCTTGAACCCAGGAGGCGGAGGTTGCAGTGAGCTGAGATAGCACCACTGTACCCCAGCCTGAGTGACAGAGCGAGACTCAGTCTCAAAAAAAAAAAAAAAAAAAAACCCAACAACAATATTAACAATAAAATGTTTAAAGCTAAGTTCAATTAAATAATTAAGTTCACTATTGCCATATAGTCTATCTCTTTAGGTATTAAAATAATAAACTTAAGGAAAGACTTAAATGTTTCATTCCTATGTATCAAAATTGATTAATTAATCTAAATTAAAAGTACCTAACACCTTTACCTGGCTTTAGCTTTTGAGAGCCTTGGCTGAAAAATGACTGTCTTGGGCACTGTTGAATGAGATGGTCAAGCGGCCACTGTTGAATGAGATGGTTAAGACTGCAGCAGAATACAGACTCAACGTCACAGGGGGAAACAAGATTTCCTTAGGAGTTACAGTCTATCCTTTTTTTAAAATGTCATGTTTATTGCTCGTTTTTTGTTGTTGTTAAAATAGTTTTAAGATGTCCATTCTCTTCCTTCTAGTTTTCAAGCTCCATATTCCAGATCCCTCTGAAGCACACACCATAGTGAATTATTTCTTTCAGACACATTGCTTTTGGGGTACGGTAAATGACACCCCAATTTTACAATATTGCTTTGGTTTTTTGACCAATACAAACAATAGTTAAAAACATTCTACTAGAGTAGAAATATGCCCATTATTTGTACCCTAATGGCTAGCATCTTTGATTATTAAAATTGAGCTATTAGGCCAGTGCAAAAGTAATTGCTGTTTCTGCCATTACTTTTAATACCTATAATACAATGGAAAATGACTTAAATATATTTAAAAATTAAATGAGGAAAATGATTTGTGTTTCTAGTTTGGGTTTCGTTTTTAAACATGGCTATCTTTTTGCGGAGGTTGAAATCCTTCCAGATGGATCTATTGTGACTTCTCCTGAGACTTCTTTGAGTAAATACTGTGTTGTAATTTAAGATGGTCCTAGATGTTTTGATAAACCTTTTCACATAATTTAAGCAATTGTGAAAAGAATTTATTAAATACTTTGCTATTTTACTACTGGATCATTTTAATTTAATTCTGTGACCTTTGATCTTTATCAGGAATATTTGGGTTCTGGCAAAAGGAAGGTGTTTTTAAATTTTAAATTTCAATACAAAAAAATTTAATTTTTAATAAAGGTCATTAGTATCCACAATAACAATAATTTGTATTTAGACAGCATTCTTCCTTAAGAAAGAAAATTCCTTCTTTAACAAAAAAATCAAGGTTGACTAAAAACTCTGTTCTACAAAACATATAACAAAAGATATTTTAGATATAACGAACCATAATTTTATGGGAGATTAAATTTTGCTTAATTTAGATATATTATTGCTTCACAATGCACACACTACTAAGCAAATGGAGCTAATTGACCTTAACCTTGAGGTAACTGAGAAGACATTTCCTTGTAGGTAATTTAAGAAAAATAAATATAATAATATGAAAGTAATTGAAAGACAGGAGATATTATTTGATCAGATGATTTTACAAAAAAAGGATTGGGGCAGTGGAGAGGTGGCAGAGCACAGTATGAAAGGATATGGAATTACTAGTTGATGACTTCTTTTGTTAAGCAAGGGCATTAGTCTACATGATGTTGGTTCATAGAAACTTTCGCTTTAGGATGAAATGCTAAATTACCAATCTAGCTCACACTTCTCACCAGGATGCCAATATCAGTGAACAGACACTGACTATTATAGACAGATGGGCCCCATTATGCACTCTCAAGACTTCAATGACAAAGCTGGCCCACCTAGTCCACAATCTATGGACTCCTTCTTTCTATACCTCAGAGCCTGGTCCATGCTCTCATCAAGGAAATACAGTAATGGAAGGTGAAGCCAAGGGCTAGAGGGCAGCAAAAGAAATTGCAAAGGAGTATTGATACTATGACTGGAAAAGATTGTGAGGCTGAAACAGCAATATTCAGAGGGGGAGGGTTTCATTTTGAGCTAACTTTGGATTTAAGTCATTCCACAGGAAATATATATCTGTGAGACTTACAAGAGCTAACTTCTAAACTGTTCTACTAATAGCAAAAATGGCTTAAATTGACATCTGCAGAAATTTTAAACCCAAATCATCTGACAAAATAGACAAATCTTAGAAATAGATGTGTGAGTGCACCTGCTTTTCTCACAGCAGTGCATAAAAATATTCCAAACCCAGACAGACTGTAGCACTGATGCTTTGAGTCTTTATTTGACTATAAAACGGTATCCATGTGATAGCTGATGTGCCAGTGTTTTTATTTGAAAGATTAGTGATGTATTTGGTAATAAATGCTAGTTTCTAGCCTACAGTATTAGTGGCACGCAATTATATTTAATGCAAAGGAAAGAAGCTGATAGACTGCCTGCCTCTGTGAAGTCTCCAGAGCTGGACCATCACAGGGGTGTAAAAGAGTTAAAAAATGCTTTCACTGGAAGAGTTCATCATTAATGCCTGTTAATTTTCCTACTAATAACAACTTGTTTTAAGAAAAACACAGTTGCTCTTGTTCTTCAGAGCCAGCTTATCCCTAGGAGTAAAGGGGTGGTAAGAAAGAGAGAAATATGAGGAAGGCCACAATGTCACTGTGACTTCTGCAGTAGTAATATAATAGGCCTGTGCACCTCCCCAGCCAGAATGGGGCAGTCAAGCAGAACAATGGTGGGCTAAGACACACTGAAGGAAGAGCGGCCAAGAAGAACTACCAGCTGCAAGTATACACACCACTCCCGGTTAAAATTAAATGAAACAAAATACTCTGTGATTCCCTTAATTGAAGATCAGATTTTAGACAAAAATTGAGCTTAATTGAAATTAAAGATGGCAGCGTGCATACAGAGATAATTAGTATTTGCTAATTGCACCATGATAATAATAAACTCATCCCATAATCCAAGTGGATTTTATGCCTGGTAAAAACTATTCTTATTCCCCCATGTAAAACAATTTTTTTAAATACCCTATTTTTTGCCAAGTGTTTATATTACCTGTGACATAAATATAACAATAATAGGAGGTATTATAATTTGCAAATAATTACTTTAAAACTATTAAAGTGAAAGGTATTACATAATTTGCCTAGGATCACCCTACCTACAAAGGCAAAAGTGAGGGCTCAGACTCAGATCCAGCTTCCCACCACTCAGACTTCCCAACTAACAAATTACAGGTTTTATCTCCATTTTATAATCTAGTTTCTAAGAACTTTGCAACCCTTCTATATACAGATTTCTTTTCTGTTATCTTCATTTTAAAAATGTAGTAAAAGCTTTATTTATTTAATTTTTAGCTGACTATAAAAGCTATACATGCTCACTATTAATATTCTATATATAAGAACAGAAACTAGAAAATGAAAATCACCTCTAATTCTACTTCCCAGAGGAATATTATATGTGTATATGTATGTGTGCATGTGTTCGTGTGTTTGTATATTTTCCACTGTATCATCTATAATACTAGTTCGTAACTTGCTGTTTCACTTAATATGTTGATGACATCTTTTCATGTTAATAAACATCCACTTCAATATTTGTAATAGTAAAATAGTGGTATACTCAATGTATATGCATGCATATATTTAACAACTAAGGAAATAATTACAAAAACATGCAAAGGTAATTATTTTAGGATTTTTAAGTAATAAATATTTGCATATGCAAAAATTAACTAATAATTGACATTCAAGTTATTTCCTGGTTTTATCAATAATTCTACTTTTTAAACACTTTTTAAATATTTTTATTTAAAAAATACTTTTTAAAACTTATGAGCGTATTTGCTTAGGATGTATTTCTAGATTTGGAACTGCAACATCAAATAACTATTTTAAATTGTGATACATATTACCAGATAGCATTCCAGAAAGATTGTAACAATTTTTATTCTCAACAGAATGTATTAGTACCCGTTTTGTCACCTATATATATCATTATTATTTGTTATTTATTAGTAATATGGTAAAATGCAAATATCACTTGCCATCTGAAGTAATTAGGCTTCTGAAGATTTCTACTTTGAGCCAAGGAGTAACAAGAACTAGATTTATCTTGCTACCTGAAACAACTAAAAAACTGTACAAAATATATGAAAGAATAATTTTTCAAAACATCAAGCAACAAATGGGCAGTGATTCCTGAGATATGAGAAAAAAGCAAGGCAAGCCCAAATTATCCAGATTATTGCCTGGACAGTTTTCAGGCCACAGTGCAAGAAGGTATAACCGAGGCAAAGTCCATAAGGCTTCCCGCGATGAGGTGCTGAAACTGGAGAGAGCAGCATAGAAAAATAAGTCCCTCAAATCTTCAGCTAAGTACAGATCGGCTCATGTGTATAAGGAAAGAACCCAGGTCAAGAAAAGAATCATACAAAACAATTAGAGGAAACAATATCTGACACTTACCAAGGCTGGGAATCATTTGGGTTCTCACCAGTCGTAAGTCATGGGGCACTGAGCAAAGTCCTCAGAAGAGCTTTGCCTCTGTAATGGGGCAAAATAACCCCTAGACTAATGGCTGCTGGGTCCCTCCTAACAAAAACTTAACAGCACAACTTGAAAGGATCAAACTATTTCCAAATAACATAACTGTACCCCAAAACAAAGTTCAAAAAATGTTTATAGGAAGACAAAAATATCCAACATCCAACAAGAAAAAATACACCATGTCTGGCATCTGATAAAAAATTACCATACATGCAAAGAAGCAAAAGAATATGAGCTATAATGAAGATAAAAATTAATCAATTGAAACTGACTCAGAAATACATAAACAAATGGGCATAGTTGTGTTCCAATAAAACTATTTACAAAAACAGGTGGTAGACCAGATTTGACTCATGGGCTGCCATTTGTCATCCCCTGAGCTAGAGGAAGGTTTGAACATGTTAAGCAGAGACACTGAAGATATTTTTCAAAAGAGCCAAATGAAACTTCTAGACATGAAAACTATAATGACTGAGAAGGGAATAAAGAAAAATTAGACACTGCAGAAGAAAAGCTTAGTGAACTTGAAGACATAACAATAGAAACGATCCAAAATGAAATGTTAGAGAAAAAATACTAAAGAAATGAACAGAGCATCAGTGAGCTATGTGGCAATCTCCAGTGGCCTAATATATGTGTAATTGGAGTCCCCAAAGAAGAGAAATGGGGAGAGAGATAAATATGTTTAAAATTATAAAACCACATATGTAACAAGTTCAATGAACCTCAAGAACAAGAAATATGAAGAAAACTACACCAAGCATAATCAAATTGCTTAAAGTCAGTGATAAAGCTATTGTATTTCTGAGTTAGGATAGTGCAAGTATAGTCACCAAATTTACATAGCAAGCTTACAACATAATCCTAATTTATCGGGATCTTGAGTTTCTGGTAGCAAGTAGCAAAAGGTCAGATAGTAAAGAATTTATCTAAAATATTTGTCTAAACCTACTCATTCTTGTTTTCAGGTAGAACATTTGGATATCAAGAGATATTAAAGGAGGTAATGATGATAATGGCTTCCAGTAAATTATGCCTCACCATGTTTGTATTCCCTTTGCAATGTGATATTGCTGCTCAAGAGGTAGGGTCTATTTATTCACACCCTAATATCTGGCTGAGCTTGCAGCTTCTTTTGACCAATAAGATGTGACAGATGTGAGCATGAGCTCTGGAGCATAAGCTTCCAGGAGTCTCACAGTTTCTGCCTTCAGTCTCATGGGACCCAGTCACTGAGTAAAGAAGCTTGGGCTACCCAGTTGAATGGTAAGACACTGCAGGGAGAGAGAGGTAGCAGCCTCTTAGTCCCTTTACCTCTGGCCACTCACCAGGTGAAAGCAGCCTCAGAATTGACTCCAGGTGAGACCTACAGAACTGCTTAACCAGTCTACAGACTCTTGAGAAATAGTAAACCACGTTGCTGCAAGCCATTAAGCTTTGAGATGGTTTGTTATATACCAGTAGATACCAGAAATATCTATTTTTGGTTATCAATATCATGTTTTAAAAGCCTTTGTCATTTCATACTATAAAATGTAAACCTATATTTTCCTCTGGTGCTTTTATATTTTAATTCTGTATATTTAGCAGTTTAATTTATATTGGCATATGATATGAATGTAGTATTCAATCTTGTTTATCCAAATAGTTATCCTAATAACATTTAATAAATAACCATTCTTTCCCCTTGATTTGAGTAGTACTTTTACCATATACTAAATTTTGAGAATACTTTAATGGGACAATCCAAAAGAAAAATGTTCAAACCCACCTTCAAATACAAAAGCTATTAAACTAAATTGGTAGTGTTCATATAAAAAACTCCATATATCCATTTGAAGTATATGCATACTTTATTATAAATATTCTTCTATGTTTCAAGAAGAAAATCAGAAACATGTGTTTTCCAACATTTTGATGTGGAAATAGTCTTATTATTCAGAAAACTTTTTCAGTATTGTGTTCACTGTAATATGATTTTACTGGTAGTAATTAACCCTGGTCTTGTAATATGGTTTCTACAGCTCCCTGACTATGTATTAACCAAACGACCTTAAGTCAGCATTTATCCAACTGAAAATGCTTCTTGAGAAGTCTTCACTGCAATCTACAAATATGAGATAAGATTCAAGTCAATTTTTTCCACATTGTAAAAATATGGGGAAAAATAGATCTCATTAAATTCCAGGTATGACTTTGTCAACATACAGGTCTCCTGGGAGTTTTGGTCCTTTACAGTGAAATCTGCAAGAGGATATTTTATGGAAATCACTATAATAGTAAGATTAAATCTGATCTCGCTACCAAAAAAGCAAATTAACAGTGTTTAAGAAGATCTCTGTTAAAAGAGAACCCCAGTTCCTAACTTTCAAGCAAAGTATATACTCAAATGATCACAGTTGAATTGCCTCCTTTTAGCTCTACTCCATTGTCAAAATTTCCCCTATGAGTATCATGAAGCCACTGAATTGGAGAGGAAAAAAGCTAAAAAAAAGGCAGAAATAAGTCAGGCATGGTGGCTCATGCCTGTAATCCCAGCTATTAAGGAGGCTGAGGCAGGAGGATTGCTTGAAGCCAGGAATTGGAGTCCAGCCTGGACAACACAGAAAGATACCATCTCTTGAAAAAAGAAAGCAAATTTTTTAAAGGCAGAAATAGCAGAACAGAGCTGACTCCTAGATGGGGTCCCAAGAAAAGAGAGGCTGCCTAAGCATTATTCCTTCCCCAAAATATCTCTTATACTGTTCTACCAATTTGGTCATGTTGCCTGAAATCACATCAAGTAGAAATTCATTTCTGTCAGTAAGCTCTCTGTAAAATTACAAATATCTTTAAGATGTGTAGAAGCTTATCAAACACCATCATGGTTGTGTGAATTAATTATTTCATTGGATTTTTTCAATGGATTATTAAAATCACCTGCATTGAAGGAGGGAAATTTTCCTAATTATATTAAAAAGCACCTTCATCCTCCTAGTTATCAGCTTTAAAATCATTTTCTAATTAAACTTTTAATCTTGAGATTATACTTACACAGGTAAGATATACATGTGTTGTAAGAAATAATACATAAAGATATGGTATGTCCTTTACTCAATTTCTCCCAATGGCAACATCTCGCAAAATTATACTGCAAAATTACAAGGATGATTTGCACTGATACAGTGCAGTGCACTGATACACTGATACAGTGAAGATACAGAGCATTTCCACCATCACAAGGATCCCACTTGTTGCCCATTTACAGCCACACCCACCACCCTCCTATCCCCACCCCTTATTTAGACAACCAGGAATCTGTTCTCCAATTTATTGTTTTATAATGTTAAAAATGTTATATAAATGGAATCATTCACTACATGACCTTGTAAGACTGACTCTATTCATTCAGCATCATTCTCTGGCCATTGATTCAAATTGCAGTATGAATAATTTGTTCTTTTTCATTGCTGAATAGAATAATGGAATAGATGTGCCACAGTTTGTTTAACCATTCACCCATTAAAGGACATGTGGGTTGTTTCTAAGTTTGGGCTATTACAAATAAAACTACTATAAAAATTTGTGTACAGGTTTTTGAGTGAACATAAGTTTTAATTTCTCGGGGATAGATGCCCAGAAGCATAATTGCTGGGTCATATGGTAATTGTATGTTTCGTTTTCTAAAAAACAGCCAAATTGTTTTCCAGAGTGGCTATATCATTTTACATTCCCAAAAGCAATGTTTGAGTGATTCAGTTTCTCTGCATCCTTGCCAGCATCTGGTGTTATAACTGTTTTTGTTTGGTTTGGTTTTGGGTTTTTTTTTTTTAAGGCATTTGGATAGGTGTGTAGTGATATCTCATTGTTGTTTTAATTTGCATTTCTCTAAAAGCTAATAATGTTAAACATCTTTTCATGTGCTTGTCATCTATATATTCCCTTCAGTGACTCTTTGAGTCTTTTGCTCATTTTTCTATTGGACTGTTTTTATAATGTTAAGTTCTGGGAGTTCTTTATATACTCTCAGTACTAGTCCTTTTTTTGGATATGTGGTTTGTAACTATGTTCTCCTATTCTGTGGCTTTTCTTTTCATCCTTTTAATAGGATCTTAGAGCACAAGTTTTTAAGTTTGAGGGATTTCAATTTATCAGTTTTTCTTTTTATGGATCATGCTGTTGGTCTCAAATCCAAAAATTCTTTGGCTAATCCTAGATCCCAAGGTTCTCTATTTTTTTCTCTTCCTAAAAGTTTTACAGTTTTATATTTTACCTTTAAATCCACAATCCACTTTGAGATAATTTTTGTAAAATGTGTGAGACTGAGGTCAGGGTATGTTTGTTTCTTTGTTTGTGTTTGTTTGCCTAGGGATGTCCAATTGCTCAGCACCATTTATTGAAATGGCTCTCTTTTCACAATTAAATTGTTTTTGCACTTTTGTTAAAAATCATTTGGACACATTTATGTGGCTTTACTTCTGGGTTCTCTATTCTGTCCCATTGCTGTATGTGTCTATCCCTCCACTAATACCATGCAATCTTTTTTTTTTTTGAGACAGAGTTTCACTCTTGTTGTCCAGGCTAGAGTGCAATGGTGCAATATCGGCTCACCACAACCTCCGCCTCCTGGGTTCAAGTGATTCTCCTACCTTAGCCTCCTGAGTAGCTGGGATTTCAGGCATGCACCACCATGCCCAGCTAATTTTGTATTTTTAGTAGAGACGGGGTTTCTCCATGTGTGTCTCGAACTCCCGACCTAAGGTGATCTGCACACCTCAGTCTCCCAAAGTGCTGGGATTACAGGCGTGAGCCACCAGGCCCAGCCAATACCACACAATCTTTATTACTGTAGCTATATAGTAAGTCTTGGAATCAGGTAAACTAATTCCTCCCATTTTATTCTTTCTTTAAAAAAGGTTCTAAATATTCTGGTTCCTTTGCCTTTTCATATAAATTTTAGGACAATATTGTTTACATCTACAATGAATTTTATTAGACTTTGATAGGAATTACATTAAATCCGTCTATCTAATTTCTTGTACTCCAGCTCTTTCCCTTACTACCTAAGTGACCTAGCCCTCTAACTGTGCTTCCCTTAGGGTACTCAACAGGACAATGGAGAGAAGAAAGCTTACCCCACATGGGTATTTTGAGTTGAAGGCAGAGGTGCTGAGAATAGTACTTACACATTGTGTTAGGTCTCATTATAATTACGATTACTTTCTATATCCAATCAGTCACACGAAGCCTTTCAATTTTTTCTTTAAATGTCATCTCCAGGGCTGGGACTAGGATGAGGTAAGAGACTCACCTACAGCACAATATGTAAGGAGGAACGCACTCTAGTTGAGTGTGTCTCTCTTGCCTCACCCTAGTCCCAGCTCTGCTTTTCCTCATCACTTCTTTCTTCCCCTGCAATCACCTTAATTCAATTATTTATTACTATTTATACCTGGGTATTTCAACAATTTTCTAATTTGTCAGTCTAATTGCAATTTTTCCCTTCTCTAACCTATCAATACATATCCAAGTCTTCTTTAAAATAACTCTCTCTGTATCCAAAATCTGTGAAGAGTCTTACTGATTACCTAATATAGTTCATATCTCCCAGAAGAAGAAATAGTCATATAATACCATATTAAGGCTTATTGTCTATAAGCAATAGAAACTGATTCTGGGGCTAACTTAAGCAGAAAAAAAAAAGTTTATTTAAAAGATGAGTGGTAGATCCCAAAATTTAAAGAAAAACTAAAAAAGTATGCCCGAAGAAGGAACCATGTTAGCTCTGGGAAAGTGAGTGGAAAAAGCTAATATACTCTTCAGGGCAACACCACTGAAATGAGTCAACACCAACCATTTTCTTTCTTTTTATTTATTTATCTCTTTGCTTCCTTATTTTTGTTTCTAAATCACTTTCTTAAGGTATAATTGGTAAACAAAAAGCTGTACATATTTTACAACTTGATAAGTTTGGAAATAAGTATACACCCATAAAACCATCACCACAATCTATGTCACAAACCTATCTATCACCTGCAAAAGTTTCTTCCTGCCCTCTTTATTTATAATGATGATATCATTATCATCATCCTTAACATAAGATCTACCCTCTCAGCAAATTTTTAAGGATATCAGCCCTGTACCACTCTAAAGTTAGTCATGTGCTCACCCTGGGCCAGAGGAAGGCAAAGTATTTTGATTAACTGTCCTATCAAACTAGTGTCCAGTTGGGGTGGATAGGGGAAGATTCTGAGAGCAGGGCTTTGACAGTCAGGTTCACCACTATATCACCAGCACATAGAACAGTATCTAGAGTATTATATGAAGTCAGTAATATTTGCTGAATTAATAAGTGACAATATAGAAATACACAGTCAGAAAAGTAGAAAATGAGTGCTACACAGGGAAAAGCCACAGATGCCACCTACAAAAGCTCTCCACCATCTAGCCATAGCTTATGTGGATCTGTTCCATTCAGACAGATCCCCTAAGCCCAATTAATAATAATTCCCCTAAGCCCAATTAATAATAATTTCCATTATTACATAGCACTTTTCAATATATTGAGTACTTCTACTCAATATACTCAAGTTGCATCACTCAAAATATAACCCATCCTTCAGTCTTTAGCTTAGTTTCAATTCTATTACAAAGCCTTCCTAAATTATTTCAAACCATGTTTATTTCTCCTTTCCTTGAAAATTTATGTCATTGCTGTGAATTGCCATTTGACTTTTGATGCATAAACCCTGTCTAAAACACTAACATTTTATTGAGTTCCAGGTCAAAAGCTCTTATAATTCCCTGAATCTTTCCTCTAATGACTTGGACAATATCCTGCACCCAGTGGATACTCAACATGAACTCAAATGAAAACATTAAGGCAATTATTTTGAAAAGACATTTTTCTCATTGTAACAAAATACGATCTAGACTCTAAAACTCTTACAAATATACAGATGAAAGCATATTTTGGCTATAAAATATTTTTACTCATAAAATTAATGTGAATTTTAATTTTAGAAGTACACTGATGTTTACGAAATATCCAGTGAAATGATTATGTACTTATGAAGGAATATTATACACTGTGATAGCTAATTTCTTAAGATGCCTCCCCTCATTCTCTCCCCCACTTCTACCAACAAACCAGATACACATGCACTTGTGTGGTTTCCTGCCTTTGAATCTTGGCTGGTCCTGAGACTCACTTTGACCAAGAGAATGCATGATTTCCAAGGACAGGTTATAAGAAGCCCTTCAGCTGCCATGTTGGTCTCTTGAACTATGTGCTCTAGAGAATGAAGACCACAGCTAAGAAGTCCAACTATCCTGAAAAAGCCATATTCTCAAACTGGCTGGAAGAAAGTTAAGATAGCCATGTAGAGAGGCCATGTAGGGGTAGAGAGAAAGAGAGATGCCCTGTCAGTCCCAACTAGTCCACTCATCCCAACTGAGGTGCCAAATATATCCCTAAAGCTATTACTATACTAATTTACTTGGCTATTGTTATTGTTTTCATGGTATTATTTTGTTAATTTTATTGTAATTTTAAATTTTATTCCATTATTTCATTATAAATTATGATTGGCTTATTAATAACAGTAACCAGAAAACATTTTCTCTTTGTAGAATCCACTCAATTGTTTATTAAAATATGTAGCTTTTAAAACATTTTTTGAAAGTAAGGATAATGTCTTGATTATTTTTTCTCTATACTAAGAATACAGTATTTATTCAATAAAGGTTGAGAATTTAATTAGTAAATAATGGGAAATGGTAATTTGGTGAAAAAGTCAATCAAACACCTTTTACTGAATCTATCATTGACCCAGTTAAGAATTTTTTAAATACAAGACTTTAAATTTGACATCTACTGACATGTTTATTTAAAATTCTTAAGTTCTTGTTTTAATTCAATATTATCTATTGTAATCCATTATTATTCCAAAATGTATACTGTAATAAACCCACAATCAATTCACAAATAAAAATAAAATAACTTGACTTTTAAATGTATTTTGAGGGTCTAATAGGGGATAATTAGAAATAAGTAAAATAGTCCTTTAATACAGCTTTTCAATAAAAATAGAAAAACCTCCTCTAAAAGCCTTGTTTAAACTTTGTACCTAGTGTGTGCAAATACCCATTTTTTACTAACTTAATAGAATAACACTTTTGTAAATTTAGTGAGTACCTATTGCAATTCTATATTCTACATGTATCATTAGTATTTTTTAATTTTCTTTTTTTTTTGTTATACTTTAAGTTCTAGGGTACATGGACACAAGGTGCAGGTTTGTTACATATGTATACACGTGCCATGTTGGTGTGCTGCACCCGTTATGTTGTCATTTACATTAGGTATATCTCCTAATGCTATCCCTCCCCCCTCCCCCGATCCCATGACAGGCCTCCATGTTCATCAAGGATATTGTTCAACAAGGATATCCTTGTTGACTTTCTGTCTCATTGATCTGTCTAATGTTGACAGTGGGGTGTTAAAGTCTCCCATTATTATTGTGTGGGAGTCTAAGTCTCTTTGTAGGTCTCTAAGAACTTGCTTTATGAATCTGGGTGCTCCTGTATTGGGTGCATATATATATAGGAGTGTTAGCTCTTCTTGTTGAATTGATCCCTTTACCATTAAGTAATGGCCTTCTTTGTCTCTTTTGATCTTTGTTAGTTCAAAGTCTGTTTTATCAGAGACTAGGATTGCAACCCCTGCTTTTTTTTGTTTTCCATTTGCTTGGTAGATCTGCCTCCATCCCTTTATTTTGAGCCTATGTGTGTCTCTGCACGTGAGATGGGTCTCCTGAATACAGCACACTAATGGGTCTTGATTCTTTATCCAATTTGCCAGTCTGTGTCTTTTAATTGGAGCATTTAGCCCATTTACATTTAAGGTTAATATTGTTCTGTGTGAATTTGATCCTGTCATTATGATGTTAGCTGGTTATTTTGCTCGTTAGTTGATGCAGTTTCTTCCTAGCATTGATGGTCTTTACAATTTGGCATGTTTTGGCAGTGGCTGGTACCGTTGTTCCTTTCCATGTTTAATGCTTCCTTCAGGGGCTCTTGTAAGGCAGGCCTGGTGGTGACAAAATCTCTCAACATTTGCTTGTCTGTAATGGATTTTATTTCTCCTTCACTTATGAAGCTTAGTTTGGCTGGATATGAAATTCTGGGTTGAAAATTCTTTTCTTTAAGAATGTTGAATACCGTCCCCCACTCTCTTCTGGCTTGTAGAGTTTCTGCCGAGAGATCCGCTGTTAGTCTGATGGGCTTCCCTTTGTGGGTAACCCGACCTTTCTCTCTGGCTGCCCTTAACATTTTTTCCTTCATTTCAACTTTGGTGAATCTGACAATGATGTGTCTTGGAGTTGCTCTTCTTGATGAGTATCTTTGTGGCGTTCTTTGTATTTCCTCAATTTGAATGTTGGCCTGCCTTGCTAGGTTGGGGAAGTTCTCCTGGATAATATCCTGAAGAGTGTTTCCCAACTTGGTTCCATTCTCCCTGTCACTTTCAGGTACACCAATCAGACGTAGATTTGGTATTTTCACATAGTTCCATATTTCTTGGAGGCTTTGTTTGTTTCTTTTTACTCTTTTTACTCTAAACTTCTCTTCTTGCTTCATTTAATTCATTTGATCTTCAATCACTGATACCCTTTCTTCCACTTGATCAGATTGGCTACTGAAGCTTGTGCATGCATCACGTAGCTCTCGTGCCATGGTTTTCAGGTCCATCAGGTCATTTAAGGATTTCTCTACACTGTTTATTCTAGTTAGCCATTCGTCTAATCTTTTTTCCAGGTTTTTAGCTTCTTTGTGATGGGTTCGAACATCCTCTTTTAGCTCAGAGAAGTCTGTTATTACCGATCGTCTGAAGCCTTCTTCTCTCAACGCGTCATAGTCATTCTCCATCCAGCTTTGTTCCGTTGCTGGCAAGGAGCTGCATTCCTTTGGAGGAGAAGAGGTGTTCTGATTTTTAGAATTTTCAGCTTTTCTGCTCTTGTTTCTCTGCATCTTTGTGGTTTTATCTACCTTTGGTCTTTGATGATGGTGACATACAGATGGGGTTTTGGTGTGGATGTCCTTTCTGTTTGTTCATTTTCCTTCTAACAGTCAGGACCCTCAACTGCAGGTCTGTTGGAGTTTTCTGGAGGTCCACTCCAGACCCTGTTGGCCTGGCAGTGGAGGCTGCAGAACAGCAAATATTGCAGAACGGCAGACGTTGCTGCCTGATCCTTCCTCTGGAAGCTTCGTGTCAGAGGGGCACCCAGTTGTATGAGGGGTCAGTTGGCCCCTACTGGGAGGTGTCTCCCAGTTAGGCTACTCAGGGGTCAGGGACCCACTTGAGGAGGCAGTCTGTCCGTTCTCAGATCTCAAACTCTGTGCTGGGAGGACCACTACTCTCTTCAAAGCTGTCAGACAGGCATGTTTAAGTCTGCACAAGTTTCTGCTACCTTTTGTTCAGCTATGCCCTTCCCCCAGAAGTGGAGTCTACAGAGGCAGGCAGGCCTCCTTGAGCTGCAGTGGGCTCCACCCAGTTCGAGCTTCCCGGCCACTTTGTTTACCTACGCAAGCCTCAGCAATGGTGGATGCCCCTCCCCCAGCCTCACTGCTGCCTTGCAGTTTGATCTCAGACTACTGTGCTAGCAGTGAGTGAGGCTCCGTAGGGGTGGGATTCTACGAGCCAGGCACAGGATATAATCTCCTGGTGTGCCGTTTGCTAAGACCCTTGGAAAAGCACAGTATTAGGGTTGGAGTCTCCCATTTTTCCAGGTACCATCTGTCACAGCTTCCCTTTGCTAGGAAAGGGAATTCCCCAACCCCTTGTGCTTCCCGGGTGAGGCGATGCCTCGCCCTGCTCCATGGGCTGCACCCACTGTCTGACAAGCCCCAGTGAGATGAACCCGGTACCTCAGTTGGAAATGCAGAAATCACCCATCTTCTGTGTCGCTCACGCTGGGAGCTGCAGAATGGAGCTGCTCCTATTCGGCCATGTTGGAACCTTCCCCCCAGTATTTTTTAATTTTCTACTATAGTTGTTTATCTAGTTTACAAACATAGTTTCTAAGACAACCATGATTGGAATTATCTGGAAAAATTATAAATATATCTCTATTTACTAAAACACCAGTCTTCCATATTTCCTGATATGGTTTCTATTTCATGAAAGTGAATGAATTTCTAACCATTTTAGTTCAGTTAAAAAAAAAAAGAAACATTACTAACAGTTGGATAAATGTCTGAGAATTTGTTTTAGTGTCAATGTATTTGTAGTATACTTTAAAAAGGGAAAAAAATCTCAAAGTCCATCAGCCACAAAATATAAGAAGGATTTAGAATAAATTAACCAAGTTCAAAGACTCTCAAGAGGGTCTTTAAAATGAAGCTGCCCATGAGACATTACGTTAATCAAGTAATTGAAAGAAAAAGAAACTGAGCCTAAGTGCCTATTTACTGAGATATTTCTGGGTTTAACAAATTTTGAAGATATAAGAAAGTAGGTGTTTAGGTATTTCTGAATTACTCTTCTCATATTTCAACAACTTTCTCACACTGAACTCCAGAATATATGAATTGTTATAAATCATTGTGGCCAAGGTGTCTAGGAAAAAAGCCAGTCTGATTTTACCCTTTTATCTTCATATGACAGATGTTTAGAGGGCAGGAGCTAAAGTCTATCAAGAAAACTGAATGATTGCTGAAATGGTTTGGCTGTGTCCCCCCCCCCAAATCTCATCTGGAATTGTAACTCCCACAATTCCCATGTGTCATGGGAGGAACCCAGTGGAAGGTAACTGAATTATGGAGGCAGGTCTTTCCTGCACTGTTCTTGTGATAATGAAAGAGTCTCATGAGACCTGATGGTTTTAAAAACAGAAGTTTCCAAGTCCAGGACCAGATGGATTCACAGCTGAATTCTACCAGAGGTACAAGGAGGAACTGGTACCATTCCTTCTGAAACTATTCCAATCAACAGAAAAAGACAGAATCCTCCCTAACTCATTTTATGAGGCCAACATCATCCTGATACCAAGGCCTGGCAGAGACACAACAAAAAAAGAGAATTTTAGACCAATATCCCTGATGAACATCGATGCAAAAATCCTTAATAAAATACTGGCAAACCGAATCCAGCAGCACATCCAAAAGCTTATCCACCATGATCAAGTGGGTTTCATCCCTGGTATGTAAGGCTGGTTCAACATACGCAAATCAATAAACGTAATCCAGCATATAAACAGAACCAAAGACAAAAACCACATGATTATCTCAATAGATGCAGAAAAGGCCTTTGACAAAATTCAACAGCCTTCATGCTAAAAACTCTCAATAAATTAGGTATTCATGGGACATATTGCAAAATAATAAGAGCTATTTATGACAAACCCACAGCCAATATCATACTGGATGGGCAAAAACTGGAAGCATTCCCTTTGAAAACTGGCACAAGACAGGGATGCCCTCTCTCACCACTCCTATTCAACACAGTGTTGGAAGTTCTGGCCAGGGCAATCAGGCAAGAGAAAGAAATAAAGGGTATTCAATTAGGAAAAGAGGAAGTCAAATTGTCCCTGTTTGCAGATAACATGATTGTATATTTAGAAAACCTCATCATCTCAGCCCAAAATCTCCTTAAGCTGATAAGCAACTTCAGCAAAGTCTCAGGATACAAAATCAATGTGCAAAAATCACAAGCATTCTTATACACCAACAACAGACAATCAGCCAAATCATGAGTGAACTCCCATTCACAATTGCTTCAAAGAGAATAAAATACCTAGGAATCCAACTTACAAGGGATGTGAAGGACCTCTTCAAGGAGAACTACAAACCACTGCTCAAGGAAGTAAGAGAGGACACAAACAAGTGGAAGAACACTCCATGCTCATGGACAGGAAGAATCAATATTGTGACAATGGCCATACTGCCCAAGGTAATTTATAGATTCAGTGCCATCCCCATCAAGCTACCAATGACTTTCTTCACAGAATTGGAAAAAACTACCTTAAAGTTCATACGGAACAAAAAAGAGCCCACACTGCCAAGACAATCCTAAGCCAAAAGGACAAAGCTGAAGGCATCATGCTACCTGACTTCAAACTATACTACAAGGCTACAGTAACCAAAACAGCATGGTACTGGTACCAAAACAGAGATATAGACCAATGGAACAGAATAGAGCCCTCAGAAATAATGCCACACATCTACAACCATCTGATCTTTGACAAACCTGAGAAAAACAAGCAATGGGGAAAGGATTTCCTATTTAATAAATGGTGCTGGGAAAACTGGCTAGCCATATATGGAAAGCTGAAAGTGGATCCCTTCCTTACACCTTATACAAAAAGTAATTCAAGATGAATTAAAGACTTAAATGTTAGACCTAAAACCATAAAAACCCTAGAAGAAAACCTAGGCAATACTATTCAGGACATAGGCATGGGCAAGGACTTCATGTCTAAAACACCAAAAGCAATGGCAACAAAAGCCAAAATAGACAAATGGGATCTAATTCAACTAAAGAGCTTCTGCACAACAAAAGAAACTACCATCGGAGTCAACAGGCAACCTACAAAATGGGAGAAAATTTTTGCAATCTACTCATCTGACAAAGGGCTAATATCCAGAATCTACAAAGAACTCAAACAAATTTACAAGAAAAAAACAACCCCATCAAAAAGTGGGAGAAGGGTATGAACAGATGCTTCTCAAAAGAAGACATTTATGCAGCCAACAGACACATGAAAAAATGCTCATCATCACTGGCCATCAGATAAATGCAAATCAAAACCACAATGAGATACCATCTCACACCAGTTAGAATGGTAATCATTAAAAAGTCAGGAAACAACAGGTGCTGGAGAGGATATGGAGAATTAGGAATGCTTTTACACTGTTGGTGGGACTGTAAACTGGTTCAACCATTGTGGAAGACAGTGTGGCGATTCCTCAAGGATCTAGAACTAGAAATACCATTTGACCCAGCTATCCCATTACTGGGTATATACCCAAAGGATTATAAATCATGCTGCTATAAAGACACATGCACACATATGTTTATTACGGCACTATTCACAATAGCAAAGACTTGGAACCAACCCAAATGTCTATCAGTGATAGACTGGATTAAGAAAATGTGGCACATATACACCATGGATTACTATGCAGCCATAAAAAAGGATGAGTTCACGTCCTTTGTAGGGACATGGATGAAACTGGAAACCATCATTCTCAGCAAACTATCACAGGGAAAAAAAAACAAACACCGCATGTTCTCACTCATAGGTGGGAATTGAACAATGAGAACACTTGGACACAGGAAAGGGAACATCACACACTGGGGCCTGTCGTGGGGTGGGGGATTGGGGAGGGATAGCACTAGGAGATATACCTAATGTAAATGATGAGTTAATGGGTGCAGCACACCAACATGGCATATGTATACATATGTAACAAACCTGCATGTTGTGCACATGTACCCTAGAACTTAAAGTATATAAAAAAAAAAAAAAGTTTCCCTGAACAAGTGCTCTCTCTCTCTTTGCCTGCTGCCATCCATGTAAGATGTGACTTGTTCCCCTTGCCTTCTGCCATGATTGTGAGGCCTCCCTAGCCATGTGGAATTGTAAGTGCATTAAACCTCTTTTCCTTCCTAGTCTCGGGTATATCTCTATCAGCAGCATGAAAATGGACTAATACAATTGGCTTTGCCCAGATATAACCAAAGAGCATCAAACCAAATAATGACACCAAGGGAGACAGATGAAGAATCTGAATGAAACTACAAGAATGAGGTTAGAAACACATGGAGACTCAGACTAGACAAAGTACACATAAAAGCAGAAAAGAGGGCTAAACAAGAAGCAAAATTCAGAGTCCCATTAGCATGCATAGATCAGAAGCAATAAGTTCAGATCCTGAACAATGGAGGTATGATACTGGAGTTTGAATTCACTGGCTGCCACAGCTCCTTGGTAGAGGGGGGACTCTAAATAGCCTCTGCAATTCACCAGGTTACAATTGATATGCACTCCACCTTTACCTCACTGCAATGCCTGTGTTAATCCCTAAACACCTAGCCCCAGTGGCCCAATACAGCTCATACACACTTTCTTTTTTTGGTTTGTTTATTAAAAGTTTCTTTTTTCTTTTTTAGAGGAAGGGTCTCACTATGTCACCCAGGCTGGAATGCAGTGGCCATTCACAGGCTCCATCTCACTACTGGTTAGCATGGGAGTTTTGACCTGCTCCATTTCCAATCTGGGCCAGTTCACCCCTCCTTATGTAACCTAGTGGTCCCCTGCTCCCGAGAGGTCACCATATTGATGCCAAACTTAGCAAAGACACCCAGTTGACATAGTGCACTACATTCCAGAACTCCTAGACTTATCAATCCTCCTGCCTCAGCCTCCTGAGTAGCTGGGACTATAGGCGCGTGCCACCACACCTGGCACACACATTTTCCAGAGCCAAAATGCTGAAGCTTTCCCCACTTTTCCTATAGGAGTGTTACAGCAGTCATAGGAATGATTGTGCCTTTGTCTGATAGCTTCTTTTGCAGGAAATGCCCAAGTAACTCCAATCAGGTAAAATAATCATTTTATCTTCTCAGACTTCTGGTGTCTTCTTTGGATACAAAAATGTGTACTAAAAGCCTTTACTGCATATGAAAGGAAAAAACTAAAAAGAGGGGAACTAACCATCCAAGAAAGTACGTGGGATAGTGGCCAGACAAGAATGTATATCCTCTGTAAAATATAAATCATAGAATCTCAGTATTAAAGAACCTTCAATCAACTGAGATGTCTGAAAAATTATAATCGAAGAAAAATGACCATATTACACTTAAGTTAGAAAGTCAGTATTTTTCCATCGTTAAAAACCATGATCCCAATGCACTAAGACCTTACTCCCTAATAATAATTGATCAAACGAGAGTGATTTCATCCCTTACTTGTACTACAGTCAGTGAAAGATCAGAACCTATAAGAACCTGCCAACAAAATACTCCAGACAAGTGCAAAATCTATGAAGTATAAAGAATATATACCCCACATTATAAAGAAAAGAAAATCTTACAGCTTTTTCTAAAGCATCAATCAAATCAGAACGAAGTGCCACAGACAGGATTTTGCTTTATAAAGTGCTGGCTTTCTTCAAGGTCATTCATGACGGTGATGCAAAGACGTCTGCACTACCGCGCTTTCAGGCTCAGCACTGGAGAACTGCCTAGGGTCTTTACTTAATGAGTTTACTAGCTGAGCTTCATATCTTAATAGAAGCAGTTGAGTTCTGAAAAAAAAAAAATTTTTTAATCTGAGCTCAGCATAGTCTCTTTTACAGCTACAAAAAAATAAGCAATACACTTATAAAGTAATGGATACTGAGTTAAACAGGACATCCAAAAACCCACAAAATATTATTATTACAAATGCTAGTTTCTCTCATTTATTCATGATTCTGCTCAAAATCTCTATAAAATATTTACCTTTTAACACTGAATCTTATATTTTGTTAGTCTATTTTTTTGTTTTTCAGTGAAGTTTTTTTGAGATGGTCTTGCTCTGTCACCAAGGCTTGGAGTGCAATGGTATGATCTCACTGCACTGCTCACTGCAATCTCTGCCTCCTGGATCCAAGTGATCCTCCTACCTCAGCCTCTCGTGTAGCTGGGACTACAGGCGTACGCCACTATGCCTGGCTAGTTTTGTATTTTTAAAATAGAGATGGGGTTTTGCCATGTTGCCCAGGCTGGTCTCGAACTCCTGAGCTGAAGCGTCGCCTGCCTCGAACTCCCAAAGTGCTGGAATTACAGGCGTGAGCCACCATGCCCAGCTGGATCTCAAAATTATTGTTCTCCCTTCTCCCTGAAGACACCTATCATTTACCAAACCTCAAATCTTTGAAAGGCAATCCAAATTACAATGGCTACCAAAAGCCTAAACCAATGGATTGTAAAGCAAGATTAGAATTAGGCGATCTGAAAATGTGGATTTAGCATACAATTTTTTTAAACAACCAGAATGTACCTGTATCTCAATATTTATAAGGAAAAAGGACCACTGAGTACTCTTCACATATTTAACATATTATCCTACTACTATACAATTGAGGGAGTCCAATTTAGTCTACTATTCTATGAATTTTTTTACTTGATAATATTATCTGACTTCTAGTATATCACTGATGACCATCATTACATTTACTAAGCTCTCTGGCTACACTTAAATAATTCCATGTTAAACTAGCTTTCCTGAGAATATTACTATAATCAGAGGCCCTCAAAAGTATTACCACATTTGCTTTTTGTCTGAGATCCTCCTGCTACACTCACAACACAAGAACTACATGGCCATGAAACCTAAGGTAAATTGAAGAAAAGTTACCAAGGAGGATTTCTGTATTCTCCTATGACATTCCAAGGTTTTAGGAGGAGTCAAGAAATTCTAGTCTTCTCTTTAAGTATATGTCCACAAAAATAATAATACTGTTGAAAAGATTTTACAATTAAAATTGCCATTAAAATTTTAAATAAGATTCAGTACAAATAATAACATTCAATACCCATAATGAAGAAGACCTAAGAAACTTATTACAAATCAGAAAATACCAGTAAAAATACTTGTATTTTCCAAACTCTCCTGAGAAGTGTGTCACTATTTCCTAGTGTTTTATGCCTGTATCCTTCAGCACGGTACCCGATGCTCAAAAGATAGCCAAAAACATGTTTGTTGAAGGAATCAGTAAGGAAAAAAATGAAATTAAGCAAAATATAAGTATCGGCACTAACTCCTAGGGTTAATGGAGTATCATTCAGTATGTGGAAATACTAACTTTACAAACTACTTAAGTATAATCAGAGAGCCTAGCATATATGAATAGACAATCTATAAAGACTTTTTGTTGTTGCTGTTGTTTTGTTGTTGTTGTTGTTGTTATTGTTGGACATGGAGTCTTGCTCTGTCGTCCAGGCTGGAGTCCAGTGGTGTGATCTCAGCTCACTGCAATGTCTGCTTCCCAGGTTCAAGTGATTCTCCTGCCTCAGCCTCCCGAGTAGCTGAAATTACTGGTGCACACCACCACACCTGGCTAATTTTTGTATTTTTAGTGAGACAGCATATCACTATGTTGGCCAGGCTGGCCTCGAATTCCTAACCTCAAGTGATCTACCTGCCTCAGCCTGCCAAAGTGCTGGGATTACAGGCATGAGCCAGCGCACCTGACCTACACAGACATTTTTGCTTTGAAAAAATATTTCAATAAAAATTTGTAATTTATTTACTCCAAAGTTACTTTCATTATTAAGTGATGAACTATGCAATAACATGAGATATTTATAACATTTTGTTGAAATAGTTATAGATTAACAAATTCTAAATTAGCTAAACATACAATATAGTATAAAACCTGCAAAACACAAACAACTAAATACAAACTAAATAATTTTTCTTAATAAATCTAACCATATTGAAAACATTTTAACCCCATGATTTCACACAGATGTTGGATGCCATTCAAAATAGCCTTTGATTTCTCTTGCCTACATGTTTCAGGCACTGAAAACACTCTGGTCTAACCTCTCTATGTCCTCCCAGCAAGCTCTTTATATCTTGCCCTTATGGTATTTTCCAACCGTCTGCCTTAAACAAAGAGTCCTTGCTGGCACTGGCTTGTTGCTAGTCAGTATTTAGCTCTCTCTCTTTCTGTAACGAAGAGAGAGCCTAACCATCTGCTTCATGCAGCTTTTCATTCCTATGATATCTTTCTGCTCTTTCCTCTTCCAACTCAGAAACAGAAAGCAAGAGATAAAACAAAGCATCTTAGGTCCACAAGAAGCTGTGCAACACCCAGGAGGGTTTCTCCTCCCAATCAGGAAAATGCTACCTTAGCAACCAAGTAACTAAGGCCAATTAACCTCCCTTCTCTATCAATATTCAATTTACATTGAAACCCTTTTTGGTTAAGTCCTTCAGTTTTACAATGAGCTTTCTGGCAGAGAAAAAAGGTGCTTCTGTCTTAAAGGAGCCAGGTCCTTTCTCCTGACTATCGCTAAGTGTGACTCAAACTTAACATAAAGTGTTAGGTGATTTTCTAATTCAAGTTAAGGGACTGGAAACTTAGAAATGGCATAAAAATTAAGTGCAATCAACCAACATATGCTTAAAGTGAGAATGAATCATTTTGGAGCAACCAGAGATTAGGTACCGTGGAGAATAAGAGATATGGAGAAGATGCTTTGTAGCTGTCATTGCCTCATACCTGCCTTGGCTGATTTATGTCCCTTCCACATAACCAACAAAGCCCAGGTTACCACTAAATAATCACAATCTCAGTAGAATACCAAAGAAAAGATGAATGAAAGAAAGGAGCACAGATAGTAACAAAACCAAAAAATGTCCTTTCAGGCAAAAAAAGTCCAAAATTAAAACTAGAAAGGAACTAGCATTTCAAAGTCATAAACTATTGCAGAAGTTGTAAAAACTATAACATATTTAAAGAAAAAAGGGGTTTTATAAAAATATAAAAAAGTACAATAGAAAGCTCCCCCACCATCCCAAGTTTTCACATTGTGAGATGGCGTTTACGTTTTTCTAAGTCTTACAATTAAATTATTATACTGTATTCTACTTTGGGTAAAGAAAAATTGACAGAAATTTTATACAAAAGGGTAATTAGTTGTCTTCGTGTTCATTTTCCAGGTCTTGATGAAGCAAAGTTCTTTGTGGAATAATTTTATATAGAATGGAATATGGAACTTCAAATGTATATTGTGATTTATAATAGGCACTATAAACACTATAAATCATCCTTCAACAGTTTTGGGAGCAGCATTTCAGTGTCAACACATAGTACCACTGTATCTCCAAACAAGTCTTGCTACTAACAGTTATGATACAGAATTTCAAAACCAGTTTTGTTTTCTAGTTTTGTCACTTACCATTTGCAGGACTCACCATTCTACTCACACAAAGATTTATTCTGAAACAGTAAAGCTGCCTTAAGGTTACTCTAATAAAAGTGAACATTTGTAAACCTTTGGCTCCCACCATCTTATTTGATCCTCATAGCCACCCTGCGAGGTAGGGATTGTAATGACATCTTTCTCCAATTGAGGTGTCTGTAGTTGAGAAAGATGTGGAGAGCAAATTAAACTTAATGAAGCACCTACCACATATGTGTTTTACTTTCACAGCATTAGCCAACTGTTTTACTTCATGATATTTAATACACACATCCACACCCATACATGCTTACATACAGCTCCCAGTTCCCAACCTCCCAACTCCTGTATTTGGGATCCCATTTTCTAGATAAGAGATTTGTGGCTTTAAGAGGTTCAGTAATATTTTCAAAGTCACACAGAAGGAGGGAAAGCAGGGATGTAAAACCAAATTTCCCTAATTTTAAAGCCCTTGTTCTTTCAACCATGCCACACCACCTGCTACACAAAGCCCCTGGCAGACCCATATGTTACCTTCCAAATCCCTTCTGCTGATGTTAGCAACCACTAAGGGTCAAAGGTTGTATTTTCAAAATGTGACTCATGAGCCATTAGTAAGTTCTGAAATCAATTGCTGGGCCTTGACCAGCATTTTTAAAAAACAAAATAGCGCAGGGTAGATTGAGTAGAATAGATCAGAAAGAGTAAGAATTGTTTCATGAACCTTGGTTTCAGGTATGCATGTGTGGAGTGTTCTAGGTCTTAATGTAAAATGTATTTCTTATTATGGGTTTATATTTAAAAAGTTTGAAAGTCATTGGGTTCAGTGGATGCTCTCACATAGACCTAGCTCATGAATTGAGAATTACTGAACACTCAGCTCTCTTCACTTAAATAACATCAAGAAATATAAGACAGGAGATCCCTTCTCAGACAAGTCAGAAAAAGTATTACCTAGAATCAGCACAGGAGGAGGATGCTGATTATATAATTATGTACCTCCTTCACAGCAGCTCCAGTCCATCAAGTAGATAGTATGGTTTATTTTTTACATCACTAATTATGTAATTATCCATAACATTAAATCAGTTCCACCTGATTCAGTCTATCACAGGTTTCCTGAAACATTCGTTTATTATTTTTTAAAAGAACACTAAACTACATCATCTTATATGTAAAAGTTCCAGTATGGAAGGTGGATCGACTTTTATTTAAAAAGATCTTGTGTCCAATAAGACACTTTTGGTCCTTTGGGATAAACGGCAATTAAAATTTCATTTTTAATATACCTTGGAGCAGATGCATGTATGTATATTCTGAATTTTTTCTTCATTATTTCATAAAATGCCCATTGTAGAGCAATAATGTCACATTGGTTATGTTCACAAAAAGCCTTTCTACAGAGTAAAATTTCATTGTTCTTTATAATACACCTTCCAGTATGTCATTCATTCAAAATCATCCCCTGGGAAAGTGCTGCAAAGATAAATAAGCTATGGATCTTACACTGAAGGAACGAGCAGCTGATTAGGAGAGATATAACCCTAGACACTACAGCTTCCACTCAGCTGCTTCCCAGAACCTCTGGGCAGAGCTGTCACCCGTAGCTACCAAACAATCCCTGCAACAGCTATATACCATCCAGGAAGACTCAGCAGATAACCTCTAGCAAGCAAGAGACTAGCACAAAGAATACATAGACAAGGACAAAGGCCAGAAGAAAGCATGAAAATTACAGATTCCATCTGGTTCTTCTACCTACATGTTCATACTACCTCTTAGCTTTGCCTAACCCCTCAAACCTCTTGACACAGTCAAATACCATCCATCCATCAACTGCAAAGAAGTTCCAGCATACTTGAAATTAGTGAGGGTAATCGCTTAGGATCCTCCTCACTTTATCCCCACCTAATCTCACTGCAGTCTTACTTCTGCCTAACTTCAAACTCTTGACACCATCACTCCCTCCAATTCTTTGGACACTTCCTGGTGTTTAAAACTCAGCTTTCCTTAATGGATTCTGACTTGTTCTATCTCTCTGATTTTGAGTACTCCCTGCTAACTTGAACAGGAATCCCAGATTCAGGAACCTAACAGCACACAAGCAACCTGGCTAATATCCTAGCACAGCTAGCCTAATACCCCTCTGGAGGGGAGATTCAGACAAACTGCTAAAAACGCTGACTATTTCACAGCCCAATCTAAAGTCACAACTTAACATTCTTCACCTTCTACTGACAATTACTTTCCTTAGTGCAGAGCCCCTCTTGCTTCCCACCACTACCCTCTACACGTATCACCATGTGCACCTCTCTCAGCCATCCCCAAGGACCCAAGGTATAATACATGGAGGAAAAGGTACTAGATACCTCTGGCAGTAAGGTTAATTCCAATACCCTGCGTGATCAAAGAAGTATGATTTGAAGAAACATTTTTCGAAGTTGGCATCCCACCTCAGAAACACCCAAGGTGTGCTCCTGCAGCCTCTCTCCCAACTGCTGAGTGATTATGGAAGCCAGGATCGGTTGATAGGTTCATAAGGTAGACAGAGGGAGACATGGAATCCATCCTCAGCCTCCAAGTTTCTTGTTGCCAGATTCCAACCATGTGTTTTTAAGTCAGTCTGACTTATCAGGATGCCTGCTGTCAAAATGGAAAGCTGGGGGCACTTCTGCTTTATTGGAGGTAATTTCCCAAGATCCCCTACGATCAGCTCTATATTCATGACTCTTGATTCAGATTCTCATTTTCAGCCCCATGCCTCCTCTCTGGATTCATCTTGATTTACATAGGTTGACCTCCAACCCTCCTGCAAGGACTCTGAGTTAGGGGAGATGTTCAAACTACTGCCATAGAACAACAGTTAAATGACCTATTAGAAAGGGGGGAATAAAAAATATATTCCTTGTCACCAGTGTCACAGAGACAAAAATGAGATAATTTCAAGAGGAAGGGGCTTAGTCAGTAGTGTCAAATGTTACAACGTGGTCAAGAAAGATGAAGCCATTAGATGTGGTGATTGTAAGGTAACTAGTAACTTAGAAGGAAGCAATTTCCATAGCTTGATTTTGGTAGAAGCCAAAAGAAAAAGAGTTGAAGTTGGAACAAATAACGAAAAAGTCCAGGTACTATAGATTACTTATTCACAAAACCTGGGAGTGAAAGAAAGAAGACAGAGGGGATTGTAAAAGAGGATTGGGAAGTGGCAATAGAGGTGTAACATGAAGCATACAGCCAAGGGACATGGAACCTAGGTACTGTTGTGGGCATTGCTGAAGTAGCCAAGGTCAAGACTAAGTAAGAAAGCAAGAGAAATAAAAGAGGACTGATGTCATTGAGGACCTTGAGACAAAAAGAATATACAAAGAATGTTCAGAGAGAAGCATAAATACAGTTGAAAATAAGGAAGTTGTGGACAGAGAGAAGAATTTCAGAGTTTAAGATAATTGTTACATTGATATTTTTCCCCTTCTTTTTCATATCTAAAAAACTTAAAGGAAGGCTGAGGGTGAAATGCTTCACAAATACTTATTGGAAAGAGAACAATTAATAATGTTATTTCAGAATAGCCAATAGTCATTTTAATAATCTTATCTAAAAATATCTTGTCCCTTCCAGATTACTACTTTTCTTTTCCTTCAAAATAAGCTAAAGTTGAGCAATTGGAGCATAGAGACGAGATTTAGTCTGCCAGGCTGTTGTACCCTCCCATTCACTGACCAAAAAATGCATTTTCTCAGGCATCCATCGGGACAGCCTTTAGGTGCCATTGCCAACTTGACAGCCTTCCTGGGTCTTTTCAATGCATTCTGAACTGTAGCTGAGACAAACATGTAATCTCTATCCTAAGGCTCCTATGAGGTTAGCTTGAACTGCATGAAGCTTCTCTCAATGCTTATCACAAATACGTAAGACTTATACTTGCTAAGAGCAAACAATCCAAAACAGCAAATTCGCAGGCACCATATGGAAGAGCATTATTGAAGTTCCCATATCACATTTATGCAATCAAAAACAATATTGTTAAAACACTTTGATGTCTCCCTTTTGAAAACCTTTAACAATGCAATCCTTGGTTATTTCCTTTTGCTTTAAGGTAAAATTATTATTTGCCCTTAAGCACATAAATTCAGAAATAAACTTTAACAAATTATTCCTGGCCACTTTATTTAATAAGTATCCTTTAATAAAATAGATAATAAACTGATAATGACAAAATATTTATACTAATATTGCTGACTTTTAGTTAAGTTCGCAGTATATTGAGGAGAGAAGAAATTCTAGATAGTTCTAACCCAGAAAAATCAAGAGACAAGCGATATCAGTTTCTGGCATTTATGTGCCAGGCACTGTGCTAAATGCTAAGGACACAGTTGTGATGGAAGTGATCTAACCAAGTCAGAGCTTAGAGTCCAGTCACAGGGTTCAGAACCACTATTCCAGTTTGAAAATGTTTTGTTCCCTTTTCCCAAAATAATTCATCTGCATTTTTAATAAAGTCTCTTTCATAGTGAGCATTTCAGGTATTAGTGGATGAAATATCAGGGGCTATATAAGCCATTGTTCTGGCCAATGATTTTATGTAAAAATGATACTCTATGCAATGGTTAGTCTTTACCCAACAGTTAAAAAAAAATCCAGACAAGTAGTCAATCTCATTCAAGCTACCAAAAAAATTCAACAATCATTTTAATATCTGAAGCTTGCCATTCATATCATGAGATTCTACATTGCTACTTCAACAATGAATTCCTTTAGGATATATGAGAAGATTGTTTTTGAGCCCTCCATAGAAAATTATGCTAATGGGAATTCCCTTCATTCCATAAAGTATTTTTAAATTAATCTTTTTAACTAAGGAATAAAATTGTAAATATACTTAATAAAATAATTTTGAAAACTCAAATTTTAGATTCTACTTAATCTTTTGTGAGATCAAATCTTACTGTAATATGTTCTAAGTAACGTATCTCCCTCCACATATGGAGTTTCTACTGGCTTCAAAAAAAAAAAAATCAAAGGGGCAGAAAAGAGTTCTAAGTAGTGGTTTCACTTTCATTTATTTTAGATTCGATTATAAAGTCAACATATCTTCCTCAGAAATTCTTCATGAAAAAAGAGCCACCTAAAGTTTGAAACCCCCAACAACCTATTGTCTTTTTTTTCAGATAAGAATTATATATATATATACTTTAAGTTGAAATTTGATTATATATATATATACTTGATATATATATAAGATATATATATATATTTAAGTTTAGATTCGGTTATAAAGTCAACATATCTTCCTCAGAAATTCTTCATGAAAAAAGAGCCACCTAAAGTTTGAAACCCCCAACAATCTATTAAGTGTCTTTTTTTTTTTCAGATAAGAATTATATATATACTTTAAGTTCTGGGATACATGTGCAGAATGCAGAATGTGCAGGTTTGTTACACAGTTATACATGTGAAATGGTGGTTTGCTGCACCCATCAACCTGTCATCTACATTAGGTATTTCTCCTAATGCTATCCTTCCCCTCTCCCCCAATCCTATGACAGGCCCTGGTGTGTTATGTTCCCCTCCCTGTGTCCATGTATTCTCATTGTTCAACTCCCATTTATGAGTGAGAACATTTGGTGTTTGGTTTTCTGTTTCTGTGTTAGTTTGCTGAGAATGATGGTTTCCAGCTTCGTCCGTGTCCCTGCAAAGGACATGAACTCATCCTTTTTATGGCTGCATAGTATTCCATGGTATATATGTGCCACATTTTCTTTATCCAGTCTATCGTTGATGGGCATTTAGGTTGGTTCCAAGTCTTTGCTATGAAAAGCATCCCAAATTCATTAAAAGAAATGGGGAAAATGTATAATTAGGGCAATTAAAATAATGTATTAAATGGCCCTCCTCTGAAACAACTGCTTCCTAAGTTAGACCTTTACAATTGGACATAAATGCTCCACAATGAAAGCCTGTCCGATTTTTGTACAGAAACATCAGCTCAGTATCCTCTTAAGTATACAGCTGCTGCTAGAAATGATCTTACTTTTGATTTTTAAAAAAATACCTCAAAATTACAACTATATGTAAAGAAAACTTTCTGATATAACTTACTGCTGAGTTAAAATACAATGGCTGTGGCACGTATCTTTACAAAGGCTTTTCTACTAGCTTAATACATAAAAAGAGAATTAGTTACCTATGTATATTTAGTCAACTTGATTTATTTCAAAAAGTAGATTTTCTTTTTGCTTTGCCAAGGAGAATATAGCACAGACAATTTCAAAGATAGAAGTAACCTTAAGAAGCCATTTAGGTTACAGACTCTTACTGAACCTAACACACTCTGAATTTTGCAAAGTGCTATTACTCAGGTACCAAGGGCTTAAAGTAAAAAGAAGATTCAGCAGAATATGAAGCAAGGCCCTGCCTCTATCTAAGACTCCTGGCTTTATAGCAGAACACTAAACTGCTTTAAGATCCCCTAAGTCACAAATTTCATTAGATGGTTCAAATAGTTTCAGTGCCGCATCTCTACATGTTGCTTTCTGATTAGTTTCAAGAATGAGTAAACAAACACTTTTGTTATATACTAGTTAAAAAAATATAGTTTGTATAATAAATAGTATATTTAGTGCAATAATCCCCAGTTTTACTGGAATTAAAGATCCTAATCTGACATGACTGGTTTTCAGAATATTCCATACTCTCCCCTCTCACAGACCACACTACTATATAGCATACACTTACACTTTAAATTAAATTACATTTTAATTTGTCTTTGAACCCTTTAATAATATCTTAAGTAAAACACAAAAGTGGGATTGGGGTCTGCTACATTCACAGTTATTTCCTTTAAAAATCCATTTATCTGTCAGCATTAGATTCATTCATTCAATAAATAAATACTGACTACTCCACATGCTTCCATTTGCATCTATGCACATTAAACATAACAGACTTCCTGGAATTTTAACACTGCTTTAAAATTACATTCCCAAATACAGAGGTAATCATGCTTCTTAGTCATCATTTACATCTATCAATACATCTATAGTTCAGTCCAAAAATAGCAGTTGCTTTACAGATAAATTGTTAATGCTTACTGAGAACTGTGGCTCACCATTTATTCCATTATAAAAAAAATATTCTGACATATGAGTCTATTTTGGACATATAAAATAGAACTCATCCTAGAAGCCACCTAATAAAATCCTTAGGGCAAATGAGTGTATTTCAAGGCCTGGTTACCTCAGAAGATCATCATTCTTTGAATATGTTCCTTGGCAATTGAGATCATCTCCTGTTACTGATTCTCAGTTTTATGCTTCAGGAAATTTATGATAGGTTGTTTTTTGTCGAGGGCCTCACTTTCTATAATATTCTACCTGCCCTGGTCTAAGGAAAATCCCAGTTAGTGAACTACAAGGCCCTAAGACAAAAATCTTTTCTTCCACTAGTATATTATTGCCATTTTTATGACTCTATCATTTTCATAGTTTTTAAAAATGTAATCTGAAGGTGCAACCTGAGGCTCTGAAGTAATAAGGATAGTAAATGGATAAATAAAATATGCTTGGTACCCACCTCTGATACCTCTGCAAAAGGATGAGGAACTACAGTAATCGAACTTCAAGCAGAACACAAACTTCAATAATATAAAAATTACTGACCAACTTAAAGTCAGTGTGTATAGGTAGCTGAATTGTGTGAATCAAAAGACAAAATCTAGGTTATCTCTATTCTATGGAAAATGACTCAAAACTTCATAAATGAAGACATTAGAGACAAAAAAATACAAAGCAATGTTGGCTAGAACACGAGTTACATAGGAAATACTTTCAGATATTTCCCCTTTCTGAGCATTCATTAATAATTTTTACTACTTATTATTAAAAATCAGTATCTAAGTTAACTAGATACTGTTTCCTTTTACTGAGTGGATGAGTGCTGGACACGATTTTTTTAAAAAAAACTTACACCTTATTTCTCAACTCTAGTCTCTCTAGTCTTCATTAGCCAGTAAGTTAATTTAGAACCTTAAAAAAAAAACTTAAGTTTAGCAGCTATTTTGCAATAATATATCCACAAAAATTTTAAGAGTTAATAATGGTTAATTTTCGTCAAAAATTGTCTAATTGAAGTATAGGGCTTGGTTCCCACTTCTATTTGTAAATTATCGTTTCATGTATAGAAATAAGGCTTCAATAAGGACAATATGCTCCTGTTTATTAAAGTAGATCAATTGTTAAATCACGTTTTTCACTACTATTAAATGATATCTCAATTTCTCTAAGAAAAGTCTTCAATTAAATACAAAAAAAATCATAAATTGATAAAGTGATATGGTAGTATCAATACCCATTTATGAAAATAAGTGTCACATAAAATAAGATATCCCAAGCCAGCATCGATTATGTTTGCTTCTGTTGAAATTATTCATTTATATTTTTAGGATTTTTTTTTTTTTTGAGACAATGTCTTGCTCTCTCGCCCAGGCTGGAGTGCAGTGGTGCAATCTCGGCTCACTACAACCTCCGCCTCCTGGGTTCAAGCAATTCTCCTGCCTCAGCCTCCCTAGGATTACAGGCACCTGCCACCACGCCCAGCTAATTTTTGTATTTTTTTAGTAGAGATGGTGTTTCACCATGTTGGCCAGGCTGGTCTCAAACTCACAGCCTCAAGTGATCCGCCCCGACTCGGCCTCCCAAAGTGCTGGGATTACAGGCGTGAGTCACTGCGCCCGGCCCTATATTTAGAGGATTTTAAATTGATGCAACATACTTCTGTTGGTCACTGGTAAAGAAAATATCTTGTTCAAAAACTGCATCTCACTTTCATCTCACAAATTCAGAAATGTCACATGCAAAATCATACTACCTACTCTCAATAAATGTCTTAATTAATATGACTAACTTTTAAGAACTACTGTTTCCCAAAGCCAGAACTTAACAAAAGCCAGAACATAATCACTTCCTAGCTATTGTCCTTAGGCAAGTTTAACCTTTGTGTCATGTCTCAGTTTCCTCATAATAAAGTGAAGAGAATAAAGATATCAATATCATGAGTTGAAATGAATTAATATATGCAAATCACTTAGTGCAGTACCTATAGTTAGTCCTCCATAAACTTAGGCTGCTGTCTTTATTATAATATTGTTATTGTTATTATTATTATAACTGTTTTTATCCACCTTCACTAATCTTATCCATTTATTTGCCATATTAATATTAATATCTATTGTCATAAGAGTTTTCTGAAGATTAAATAAGATAATAAAGCAACTAGTAAGATGAACTGGTATGTAATAGAAGTAATTGACCATGATAAGTATTATTTTGGGGGAATTAAAATGTTAATACATGAAGGCATTAATGCTGGCATAAATGTGTGTTGAAAGAGAACCTGTTAAAGTCATTGATAAAAAAAATTAATCTAATATTTCATCCAATAAAAACATCGGGAGCTAAGCAAATAGTACTCTCTAACTCCACAAAAACCCTTCCCTCAAGTTTGATATCCATTCACATATCTACATATCTTTGGTATGGTTGTTCAACTATCTACAAATACAACTAATTTAGAAGAAAAATGTAAAAAAAAAAAAATTTAGACTTTTGATCATCATATATTTAGGATCAAAAGATGATGTATTTTACCTAAACCCTGTTTTGGAATCCCAAGGACCATAGTAAAATAAGAATTTATCACTCTTCAGTGCAGAGTTGAAGTATCTTTTGATCAGCGATGGTTGAAATGAAAAATAATGTTGTTTTATGCAGTTGCTTACAAGATTATAAAACTTATTAATTATCACAAAACTACCAATAATTTTTCATGATAGATAATCTAGTCTGTAAAATCACTTACAGCTAAATTTGATAATTTGTACAAATTAGGATTATTCTTTGAGTTCATCTATCATGAGCACAATCAATCCCTTTCATGAAATTTGCTTATTCAATTTTTTTAACTTTTCAGTTCAGGGTACATGTTCAGGTTTGTTACACAGGTAAATTTGTGTCATGGGAGTCTGTTGTGCAGATTATTTCATCACCCAGATATTAAGCCTATTACCCATTAGTTATTTTTCTTGATCCTCTCCCTCTTTTGACCCTCTACCCTCTGATAGGTCTCAGTTTTTAAAATGTTAGCAGTTCAGCCGGGCATGGTGGCTCAACGCCTGTAATCCCAGCACTTTGGGAGGCCAAGGTGGGCAGATCACCTCAGATCAGGAGTTCGAGACCAGCCTGGCCAACATGGTGAAATCCCGTCTCTACAAAAATACAAAAATTAGCCAGGCATGATGATGGGTGCCTGTAATCCCAGCTACTCGGGAGGCTGAGGCGGGAGAATCACCTGAACCTGGGAGGCAGAGGTTGCAGTGAGCCAAGATCACACCACTGCAGTCCAGCCTGGGCAACAGAGTGAGACTCTATTTCAAAAAAAAAAAAAAAATTGTTAGCAGTTCATTGCATTTTTTAAACAAACAGTAGATGGCTGTTCCTTATCTAATTACATTCCACTTAAATTGTCATAGTATCTTCTACTGGTATCACAAATGTACTATCTATTAAGATAAAACATTAATTCTGAGGTATTTTGTTTTTGGTTTTTTTGTTTTTATTTTGAGACAGAGTCTTGTTCTGTTGCCCATATTAGATAGAGCGCAGTGCTGTGATCATAGCTCACTGTAACCTCAAACACCCAGGCTTATGCAATCCGTCTGTCCCAGCCTCCAGAGTAGCTAGGACTACAGGTGCATGCCACCAGGCCCAACTAATTTTTCTTGTTTTTGTAGTGATGGAGTCTCACTATACTGTCCAGGCTGATCTCAAACTCCTGGCCTCAAGCAATCCTCCCCTCTTGGCATAACGAAGCACTGGGATTACAGGTGTGAGCCACCATACCTGGCCATCTGAGGTATTTTAAAATGAAAAACTAAAAAAATTCAAATTGCCATACCTCTAATTATACTATTGACTAAATAAAAGTTATAAACAAATCTATGATGAAGAAAGAGAGAACTTAAGAGGAAAATACATCTCTGTCTAATGTTGATCTAGGAAAGTAAGACATTATATATGTAGTTCAAATGGAATGCTTTAAATGCTCTAATTAGTCTACCACTGTTTTTTAGTGAGAGTCACTCTCACTTGTCTCTGTACCACTCTCTGAGATAACTGGTGGTGGTGGCTGAATAAGGGTTAGTTTCCAACTTGGAGGCTACTCATTATTCCCAACGTCTAAAGGTAAGAATAGAATATGGAAAGAAAGGAAGTGTTACATTCTCTGCTCTCTTCCTGCTCCTTCATGTTTCTCCATTCACATCCTGCTTCTTCTTGCATAATTATGAGATAACCATAAAAAGATAATTATAAGTGTGACATTATTAGTATTAATAATAGCACTGTACGCTTGTTATATCCAACCAAAACAGGAAGTAAGAAGGGCCCACAGTTTGAATGAGAACACTGAAGTTTACTCAAGGTTACAATACTAGTAAATGGCGAAGAGAACTACAAAACAATTTCTATCTCCAAGTCTAGCACTCTTTCTTCTACTTGTGCTGTTGTTATAATCTGAGTAAATTAGGCAGCCTAAATTTACTATGAGTTGCCAAATATTAAAAATAAAACACTGGAGTTGACTGGAAGATGAAGGGTTTATCATCCGATTCCATTCCCGTGACAACTCAGAAACACAAACTACTAAAAACTCCCTGCAAACCTCTCTTTTTAAACATTGTTGATTTTTCTATGTAAATTGATTGTTGAAAAAAAATATGTTATTCTAGTAGAAAATAAACTCTTTTAGAATTCAGCCTGGACACAGTGGCTCATGCCTGTAATCTCAGCACTTTGGGAAGCTGAGGAGAGAGGAACACTTGAGGCCAGGACTTTGAGACAAGCCCGGGCAACAGAGCAAGATCCACATCTCTAAAAAAATTCTTAAATCAGCTAGGCATGGTGGTGCATGCCTGCAGTCCCAGCTACTTGGGAGGCAGAGGTGAGAGGATCACTTGAGCCCAGGAATTAGATGATTCAGTGAGCTATGACTGACTGTGCCACTGCACTCCAGCCTGCGAGACAGAGCAAGACCCTGCCTGTAAAAAAAAAAAAAAAAAAAAAAAAGGTATGTGTGTATATGTATGTATACGTATATATATATATGTGTACATGTATATATATGTATATACACATATATACACATACACCCATACTTTTTTATAATATACTATATTACATATATTATATATAATACATTATGTATATGTAGTATATATGTATAATACACATATAATTAATCAATTCTAAGTAATTCACTAGATTATCCAGTTTATATCAAAATACAGAGGCATCTGATTTGTTAAGTGAGCTAGTTCTATGGGTAATTAAACCTGAAGGTTTAGTCAAATAACAGATACTCATTGAGTCATCTTACCTCCATGGGGTTTACAGTCTAAGGAAGCAATCTGGCTTTTAAAACACTAAGCATAAGTCTGAGGAGTACCAAGAAGGAGAGATAAAGGACATATACTTTTAAAGCAAATTCCTGAAGAGAAAGAGTAAGAATAAATGTAAAGAAAAAGAAAAAAAAAACATTCTAAGAAAATCTTATGTGATTGGAAGGGGGGAAATTATTTCTAGGCCTTATGTGAATATTACATGTTTGTATATGTATATGTAATCTTCCAATTACTGTTTCTGCTATAGAGAGGTGGGGAAGCTGGGAGACACACAAAGATGGGGTACTGGGCTGTCTTGTTCTAAACTTCTGCTGTTAAAATCTTCTGCTCTTACCTGGGAAAAAAAGAGAAGGATGCCTACCAGAGCTACAGCAGTAATGGAAGCTTACAAGGATGGATAGTGACTCCAAATGAAATCACTGGACCAAGCAAAAATAACCTTAGGGATTTCAAGGGAGTGAGAGAAAAGAGTTATAGGTTTCACTCTTTGAAGAGATAAATTTTAAAAAGAATCATAATTTAAAATTGTAATAGTCAATGTAGTTTGAAGAATGTTAACCATACTCGGATTCTATTGTTTATACCACATAATCTACCTTTTTTTCACTTAACATGAACTTTTTTTTTTTTCCCAGACAAGGTCTCACTCTGTCACCCACCAATGATGTAATCTCAGCTCACTGCAACCTCCACCTCCCAGGCTCAATTCTCCTGTCTCAGCCTCCCGAGTAGCTAGGACCATAGGCGCAAGCCCCCACACCTGGCTAAATTTTGTATTTTTAGTAGAGATGGGGGTTTCACCATGTTGACCAGGCTGGTCTTGAACTCCTAAGCTCAGGTGATCCGCCTGCCTCGGCCTTTCAAAGTACTGGTATTACAGGCGTTGAGCCACCGCACCCGGCCGACATGAACCTTTAACCTGCGTAATTAAACAGTCACCTAGAATATCATTTCTAATGACTGTATCCATCTAGAGATGTGCCATAATTAACCAATCCATTACTATTGTATATTTCCATTGTTTTCATTTTTCCTATTATAAATAAGGGCTCATATACTTGCAGGTAAATCTTTGTGTACTCAAATATTTTATGAGTATTTGTGTGCAATTTACTTTTATTAAAATTATTGCATCAAAAAATAAGATGTATTAATAGACAGAGGGATCAACATATAATAAAGCAAGCACAGCAAAATGTTAATGGTAGACTTTAGGTGGTAAGTATATAGATATTCACTGCAAAATTATTTCAATTTTTCCATATGTTTCAAATTTATTGGAAAATGTTGGAAATGAAAAATGTTGAAAAAAATTATATTTTATGAGGCTAAATTCCTAGAATTGGACTAGATTATTCATAGTATGTGCACATCTTTAAACTTTGTGAAGTTAAAACATCAACCAGAAAGTGTCAGTTCCCTCACACTGTCAACACCACTTTTTAGTGCTTTTCAAATCTCTGCCAACTTGTTAGGCAAAAACTAGTAATTCATTTTTAAAATCACCATTTCTATGTTAATTTTTAAAACTTTTTTTAAGTTAATATATAATGAATTGAAAAGCTTCCTAATATGCTTGGCTTCAAATTTGATGTTGGTTATTGGAACCATGAAGCAGTAATCAAGATTCAAGCACCCATCTGGGGGCACTTAGCTTATTACCAAGCACAATACTCTCAAGAATAACTTGCAAACCTAATTATAAATAGGTGAAAGTTACTTGCAGGCCAGCATCATATACAGGCAAGGGGGCTGATGTCTGATTGGCAAATGGGCCTGATTTAACATGTTCTGAGAAACAGTTCTTCCTGCACACACACAAAAATTCACCTCTTTCATTTCCCCAGGATGCTCAGAATTCAAACACTAGTGATTTCTTCTTTTGTGCTGAAATAATTAGGTCCTCACCAATCCTCTTTCAAAATTCAAGTATTTTATTTCAATGAGTGCCATATAATTGTGGTGCTTCCATAGGATGGAATGCAATGGAGGCATTAAAGAGAACTATGGAAATCTGCATTTACTGACATGGAAAGATGTCCATGATATACTTGTTCATTGCAAAAAAAAAAAAAAGTGTGTGTGTGTGTGTGTATATGATAGAAATATGTGAAAGGATACTTACTAAAATGTTACCAGTGGTAAACTACTGAAGGACATATGGGATATTTTTAAATCCTTTTTATATATTTCTCTATTATTTATTTTTACAATGGGTATATACAATTTTTTTCACAAGAAATACAATAAGGCTATTTGCATTTCGATAAAAAGAAAAATGAAAATATCTCAGAAAACCACTCAGTCATTAGTACCATAATAAAATTTGGTTCAGCAAGATTTTCAAGTCAAGGTTAAAGTCCCCTAAGGAATAAGACCCAGATCCAGCATATTTTCAAGGGAAAAGGGGCTAAAGGCAGAGCAGGCAAAGAGGTCTCCAATCAAGTATTAAGCAGCCTGGGGCTAGGGCTATATTCAGGGAATTTTACTTGGAAAAAAAAATCAATAGACAACAGAAGGCATCTGTGGTATTCAGGTCCAAGAGAAACCAAAAGTATGACGGCTCACTACAATCTGGAGTCAGAGTGGATCTTATATAACTTTACCACAATTCTTGCTTTCAGTATTACAAAGGAAAATACCTCCTTCTCCCCCTACAACAGGCCCAGGATCCAATGGCAATTGGATCTCTCTCCAGTGGGAAGAAGTTTGAAGTTTTTAAAATATTTACTTAACAGAATTAAAGTATTTTATTTCAATATGAGTGCCATATAATTGTGGTGCTTCCATAGGATGGAATGCGATGGAGTCATTAAAGTATACATTTTTAAATGTATACTTTACGGAGACTGAAAAGAACATGATGCATTAAACTACTCACCTCCATGGGAAGACATGTCTGTCCATGGGTAGATGCTCCTAGATGTGACATCACAGACCCATTCTTAATTTGAAAGTGTATTTTGCACATGTAGCCATCAGAACAGTCCTGTGTTTCATCACCAAAAAATATATAAGAAAATGCCAATTATTTTAAGAATTCATCATTTTAAGAACCACTTCCCATAAGTTCCAAACTGATCAGTGAAAAACTAAATGTACTAAATGAGACTATATGGATAAAGAGACTAGTCCAACACCCTGTACGTAGTAAGTACTCAATAAATGCAAGTTTTATTCTCCTACCTCTCTTATTTATTAATGATGTTTCCACCCTCCTAGATTAAACCTTTCCCTTTTTTCCTGACTAGTCCATAGCACCAAGATCACAGAACAAAACTTAAGCTTATAGAAATAGCTTGTCACATAATTAATATTGATTTTCATGGCATACACATAGAGAACAATTTTAGGACTTGAAATAGATCTTGAAGCTGCAAGAAAGCTTCCATTTCAATTTCTTTCTCAAGGCAAGATCTCTATGAAAATGTCCCAGAAAGGTACTTATGCATCTCAGCAACTGCCTGAGTACCTCCAGGAACTGGCCCTTGTTACTCCCTTACACAGCGGTCATTTCCATTTTAGTGCATTGTACATTAAGAAAGTTTTGTCCTGTATTTCACATCCTTTAACTTACTTAGTTCTGCCCTCTGAAGTCTAATCCCTTTTCCACACAGCTGTTCTTCCAAGCGCTGAAGAAATGACCACCATTTGCAAATACTCCTTACAAAATATGGTTTCTGAGCCCTTTACCAGTATTTGTCTCCTGTTTCTTGTACTTGCTCTTAAATACACTAATGAATGATGTTCATCTAATTGTGGCCAGTTCCATTTTTTTAAGGTAACACTTTTTTGAATTCAATAAAGTCATGTGTAAGAATATAATACCTCCCCAAGAACAAACATACATGCCAATAAATATTAATTCCCCACCACATTGTCATACCAACATTTACATTTTAATAGAATTAAAATAATAAGGACTAAGGGGTTAATCTTCCTATAAGAAGAGGGAAATTTGGATGCAGTGACACAAACAGGGAAGAAAGCCATGTGAAGATGAAGACTGGAGCGGTGCATCTAGGAGCTAAAGATTGCCATCAGCCACTGGAAGCTAGAAGCAGTAAGGAATGGTCCTTCCCTAAAGCCTCTGGTGGGAGCAGGACCCTGCCAACATCTTGATTTCAGACTTCTAACCTCCAGAACTGTGAGAGAATAAATTTCTGTTACTTTAAGTCACCCAGTTTGTGGTTCCTTGTTATAACATTCCTAGGAAACTAATACAGTAACTCTATTTTTTAAGACACTTGACAGCACCTTAAGAATGCCTCCCAGTAAGTTGTGCTGACAAACAGCCAGCTCTCACTCAGGGGGCTGCACTGGTTAGTTGTTGATTGGTTAGATCCAACTCATTCTGATTGGTTGATGCCTCTGTCACAGGTTGCTAAATATTTTTAATATCATTCCTGCCTGGAAAGTAGGCCATCAGATATCCAATACTGTCATTTTTAATTATTTCATTAAGGATATCCATTTTGTAGATGGAATTACTGTTTTAAATTCCAGCTCTACACTATCTGACCACAAAGCAGATCCTGTAATGGTCTTCTACCATTGAAACCTTCGTATTTAGAAAAATGTAAATTTAACATTGGCTTAAACTGAGAAAGATATATGTAATGACTGTTGTCATTGCCACTGTTTCACATCAAACATCCATTCTTCCTTCTTTTGGAGCAGTAGTCATTGCTCCTCTAAGGAACAATTGCTCCTCAATTCTCCTGATTGAGAAGGGAATGGTTCCTTAGAGGAGCATTGGCTACTGTTACACTAATTACAGCTCCAGGGATAGACACAGATCTCTGATCCTGCCCATCAGTACTGCCGGCCCCAGAGACTCTGGAGGACAAATGATTACAGCTCCAGGGATAGACACAGATCTCTGATCCTGCCCATCAGTACTGCCGGCCCCAGAGACTCTGGAGGACAAATGATCTACATCACAGCCAATGGGATGAAATTCAGGATTTGGTTTTGGGGGGTTGGGAAAGGTGGCTGTTCTCTTCTCCACTAGGTTTGAGCCAGACAGACCACAAAAAAAAAAAAAAAAAAAACCTGGCAGCCATCATGTAATTAAACGAAGTTGGCTCTGCAACTCAGAGGAAAGCAAGACCATGAGATACAGAGAAACCACATTCTGACTACATTATTTACACCAACCATATCTGAAACTAGTTCTATCTCAGATTTTTCAATTACATGGCCCCAAAAAGTCCCTTCTTTGCTTCACCCAATGGGTTGGGTTTTCTGTCACTTGCAACCAAAATAATTTTGCTATTAAGTAACATAAATTTGTGTTTATTAGTTTAAAAATAGAAGATTTCTATTGTATTGTCAATCTTGAGATAGATAATCAATAGTTGATTATATAAAAGATTTACCATATACAGTCATGCATCACTTAACGGCAGGAATACCTTCTGAGAAACACGTCATTGGGCTATTCTGTCATTGTACAAACATCATAGACTGTGCTTACACAAACCCAAATGGTATGGCCTCCTACATACGTAGGCTATAGACATAGTTGCTTGCTCCTAGGCTGCAAACCTGTACAGCATGTTACTGTATTAATTGCAGGCAATTGTAACAAAATTTGTGTAAAATTTGTAAGTATTTGTGTATCTAAGCATATCTAAACAAAGAAAATGTACAGCAAAAATACAGTATTATAATCTCATGGGAACACTGTACATGTGGTCTGTTCTTGACCGAAATGTCATTATGCAGCATGACTATACGGTAAAACTATAATAGCATGTGTTTGAGAGAAAAATTACCCAAAGTCTGCAATTTCAAAATGATCTAGCCATAGAGATAAAAACCAAAACTCTCAGGATATTCAGAGAACACGGAGCTGCACTGTGTGTACTAAATATAGCTCATTAAATGAGGGTAACTGCTCTATTTTGTATTTTTCAATACCTGAGCCCTGGTCACATAACCTCCTCTTAAGGGAACATAAAATTTAGTAAAATTCTAATAACAATGCAAAATACATCTCCTTTGACATTAAAAGAGGTGAGTCAAAAATTCGTGTGCACCTATGTTATAAAATCTAAATAAATTATCTGGTCTCTTTCCCAATTAGTTAAGATAAAGAGATATGTCACTTTCAATAATACTTATAATTTGAGGAATTTACTTACATTTTAGGTAATTTCTAATACCATTTTTTTATTATCGATACGGAAGTACGCTGGGTTTTTTGCTCTATATTTGGTAGTGGTGATTTTTTTTCAGTATCAATCTTCTCAGTCAAGATTAGCCTTGAAAAATTAAATATAGAGTTTTTTGGATTTTGATTTCCCTTTAAAGACTTCCACAGAACTAGATGTTTCTTCTACTTTGTTTTAATTTAAGGCAGAAAAATATGTTTTGTGCTTCACTGTTGAAGGATGCTTTTTTAGAGACAAGCAAACTCAAAAGCAGGAGAACCACCACTCTTGTCAGCCCTGCAGTCCACCCAGCCCAGGAAAAAACGATGTCAACTCAAATTCCCCCTTGGCAATGAAGTTTTCCTGACCATTCCAATTAACACTCCTCTCTAGCTTCCCTGCATTCTTTTTGTACTTATCATAGCTTACACTTGAACATTTAACTCTTCTTTAATTTTTTAACATTTGTTAGTTTTATTTCTCCCACTAGATCATAAGCTCAGGGCCTAGGCCTCCATCCTCTAAGGGATGACAAGGTCTTTACAGGATCCAGATTCCATCCCACATAACAACCTGATCCAGAAAGAGTCTGAAAACATCCTGGACAAGCATGAGAGGATTTAAAAACAAAGGGAACCTTCAAGTTTATCCAATTCAAGCCTCTCATTTTAGAGATAAGAGGGTGAAGGACTAAAGCACTTCTAAGAAACTTGTCTTACACTAATTAGTTGGAGGCAGAGCAGGAAGTGGAAAGCGGATCTCTTGACCTGAGTATTCTTTGTAGTACACTAAGCAAATTCTGCAAGAGAGCAGGACCATGGCTTATTGACTCTCGTGGACTGGTGTGGGCCAGTGCTTTGCACTTCAAGTAACAAACTCAAGCCACTCAAGTGTGGTCTGGGGACCAGCCACAGCATAAGCTGCGAGCTCATTAAGACAGACAGGCAGAATCTCAAGCCTCACCCCAGACCTCCTGATTCTGCATTTAAAACATAATCCCCAGGTGATATGTATGCACATTTTGGAAGCACTGAGGCATGTACTGCAATCCCTGACTCAAAGAGACAGCAAACTGACTACATTAACAATGGTTCTCAATCCAAGCTGCACATTAGAACCACCTGTGGAGTTTTCAAACTGTTGCTGGTGTCTCACCTCAGACCAATTAAGTCAGAATCTACCTAGCAGATTCCAGCACAGCAGCCAGAGTTGAGAACCACTGCACTCAATTCCTTGGAGACCCTCTTTTGAACTCAATGAACAGAGTCAATCAGGTAATCTGCAGCTACCTCAGGAGAGAAGTCCACAAACAACTCAAGATCTTCATGAACACCATAGCTCATCTGGAGTTCTCCAAATGCTAAAATCACCTCTGTTAATGCTCTCTTCTTGGAGCTTTGACCATGCTGAGACTGCCTTTGAAGTGGTCTTTACTACTGCCCGAAAAACTAATTTCTGGCAACTTGGCCAGTCTTGACCTGGCCCTCTGAAACTGCCAGTAGTCTTGTAACTTAAAATTGCTCCAAGTCCAACTACACTTCAGCTATTAGGTCTCCTTGCTGTCCATTCACCACAAAGCATGATGCTTCACTCTGTCACTGTAGAAGAATAATTAATAAGAAATGTCCAGCTGTTATAACCCAAACAACTTTCATTATAAAGAGAATACTTCCTCACAGCCAAAACTCTTCCAGTTATCTAAATAGAATGCCCTTCACCTAAGACCAAAATAAGAAATATTTAAATGAGAAAAAAACCCCAAATATGCTAGATGAAAATATAGGAGAACACATATTTTTTAATATGATAAAAACCCAGAAGTCATAAAAGACTGGTAAATTCTACGGCATGCAACGAATTCTTAACACCATAAAGTCAAAAGACATATCAAAATGTGAAAAAGCATTTGTAGCTCATATCATAGAAAAGAACTAATTTTTTCAATATAAAATAGCTTTAATTTCCTCAAAATATAAATAGTTCCACCAAATCAACAGGAAGGGGTCCAATAGCCCAATAAGAAAATGAGCAAAGGATACACAGATAGTTTACTAAAGAGGAAATACATGTAGATAAAAATATGTTCAATGTTAGCCATAAGAAAAATGCAAATTAAAAACTGTGATAACATTTTTTACCTATCAGATTGGCAAAGATCAAAAAGTATGAAAGGGAATGTATAGACAAAGACATGGATAAAACAAGCAGGCACTCTCATACATTGCTGGGGCAGGGGAGTTAAAATTAGCATAAGATCCCTGAAGAGCAGGTTGGCAAAAACTATCAAAATTTAAAATGCACACACCTTGGATCCAGAAATGTTACTTCTAATAATTTACCTTATGGATATAGTCACATATGTAGTAAATAAAATTCATACAAATGATTATTAACATATTATTTTAATAGTATAAGGTTGGAAACAACCTAAATTTCCATCAGTGAAGATTGGCTAAATAAATTATTTTATGTCCAAATAATGGGATAGTATGTAACCACAAAAATAATGAATGAGTTCTGTAAATATTGAGTAATGACCAAGGCTGACCATTAAGTTATTTTTTAAAGCGCAGAACAGTATGAATATATGCATGCTACCATATGTTTAAATGTAACTGTACAGGCTATGTGTACACTGAATATATCCGGAAAGATACCCAAGACCATGGTATCACTGGCAACCTCTAAAGGTTTGAGTAAGGAAAGTAGAAGGGTTAGAAAGGAGACTTAACTTTTTAATGTAAAACCTCTTTTGTGCCTATAAATACATGGCACTTCATTTTAAACAAATAATTAATTGCCCTTTGCACATATGCCTCCAGGCCACCACATTGCCAGAGTAGATTCCAATCTTAAACTTCTAAGGAGAAAATGTCCTATAGGTCTTATAGAATCCAAGAGAGACAAGCAAGTTTTCTAGTGTAGTGCCGATTGCATTTTGGATGGAGATCTAAGGATTTCCTGATAGAACACGTTTGGGTCTGTTTTAGTACAAGCTGTCATAGGGCTATGCCACCCAGCAAGCTATGTTATGCCTGCTGGAATCCAGCTAACAAAATAATTATAGGGCTTTTGTTGCTGAGTTTAACAAGATCTTCTCTAGACACATCTAAAAGAAAATGGGTGGTTATCTAAGGGTCTAAGCTCTACTTCAGAATAAGGCATTTTATATACGACTTCAACTCAAGTTAACTGCCCAGAATGATCAACTGCAGGAAGGGCTTGACAAGTCCATAAAGGAGGAAGACAACTGAAGTTTCTAGGTCAATGCCAGCACTGATCAAACAAGGCCTTCAAGGTCAGTGGAGCCCTGAGGAATAGGTCAAACCTAGGCCACAGATCTCAAGTGACTGTTCTTTGCTGCTGTAGAAGATCAAACCAATACTATCAGTAGCTGTTCAAAACTGATTAACCTTGGGGTAAAAAGAAGAAACTAGAAACTACTGCTAAGTAGAAAAGTTTATACTAGGTAGGTCGGACATTAAACCAATATCCATCCATTTTTTAAAGTTAAAGGTAAGTAATGTAGGCAAGGAACTGTTATGGATGTAGAAGATCCTCCAGAACACAATGCTGAATGTGTTAATACGACTCCTCCCCATACCCCAAATATCCACCCAATCCCAGTAACACTGACTTCAATTTCTCATAGTGTTACACCTTCCAGATGCATGAGAGGATCCTGGCCAGGGTGAACTCTGATGCCTCTGGTTATGTTATATACAAAGGTAACTTTGTATAAAGAGTGACCAGCTCTAGTCAAAGTGATTCATCAGTACTGCTAGCCTCTGGCTCATTTAGACAAAAACTCAAGAATGAAAGAAAATAAGGAGATAATACATTTCATCTTTGATAAAGAAATTTGCACGTCTTTAATTTTCCCTTGGTCCTGCAGTATTTTGGGATTTATTAAACATGACACCTCATTAATTAAATAGTCCACCCATACCTCAGAACTTCTTGGGGGAAAGGGCTGGAGTTACATCTCAGATACTAAATTCCACTTAAGGAAGCTGAGCCTGTCCTTCTGGGAAAGAATTAAGCCTTCTGGATGCATTCAGCCCAATAGAGGCTAGCACCCCCTCGATTCACCATCTCCATGGTATAATCCACAATTATTGCTTTCATTTCTGTGACCTAATTTGTGAATCCCTACTGAACACATTTGTTCTCTAGCTGGGAATTAAACCACAGAAAAACACTGTGACACTTGATCCTTGATTGGTGGTTTTCTGCCCGTGCACAGTTTAAAAGAGCTTTTTTAATGCGGTCATGGTATGAAACTAAAAGAGAGTTCGTAGAATTGTTTTTTTAACAGATAGGGTCTTACTCTGTCACCCAGGTTAGAGAGCAGTGGCATGATCACAGCTCATTGCAGCTTCTAATTCCTGGGCCCAGGCCATCCTCCTGCCTCAGTCTCTTAAGTAACTAGGACTACACTGCCACATCTGGCTGATTTTTTTTTTTTTTTTTTTTTTTTTTTTTTGGTAGAGATGGGGTCTTGCTATGTTGCCTAGGCTGGTCTCAAACTCCTGGCCTCAAACAATCCTCCTGCCTCAACTTCCCAAAGTGTTGGGATTACAGGTGTAAGCCACCACACCCAGCCAAGAATTTGTAGGATTTTGACTTGAAATAGTCTCTATCAATCAGCAGTGTGACAGAGGATTATACCACCTTCAAAGGATTATATCATCTATTATAGTACAGAGAATTATACCCCCTATTATACTACTTACTTCTGCAATGAATCTGTTTATTTAAACAGACTCATTATATACTTTTATTAGGTTCAAATTTCGAATCAACCTATAAACAAAGCACAGAGGACTAAATTATAGTTACTGAATAGAATCTAAATATTATGAATCTTGATGATGTAAAAATAATAATATAATCAAAAATCAGAAAGAAGAATAGGAAGGAATGTGGGAGGTAGAAGTAATAAACTAAATTCTTCATCTATTATAGCAGGAATCAATAGTTATTGTCCAAAGATGAGAAATCAGGAAGGAGAAATATATTACTTAAAGTTACAGGGGTAACCATGAGAATAACTAAGGGATTATTCATCATCAATAGGGGTTCCATTAAGCAAATTAAAATCATCCATACAATGGAATACTACATAGCTATTATAAATAATAAGGTAATTCTGTATATGCTTACAAAGAAAGATGTCACTGATATGTTAGGTGGAAAAGTAAGTTATAGAACAACAATGCCATTTATATAAACCCATATATAAATGTGTATAAATATATTTATATGTGCATAGAAAACAAATTACAAAATTGGGTCAGAGGAGAAGGAGGGAAAGATTTTCATCTTTACTTTATATCTCTATGTATTATTAAACATTTTTAAATGAAATCATGTGTTATTTTTTCTTGTAGAAATAAAATAAAAACCCAATCCATGAAAGAAAAAGTAACAGTTCACTAGGGAGACTGAGATCTAAATCAGGAGTAAGAAAACTTCATTAAAACTTTCCTTTCACTCTGTGATAAATATGATTCTAAGAACCATGAAGTGTTAAACTAATTTTTGTTTTTATTTTCTTACCTTTTTGAACTCACTCTCTAGTTACTAACCCAAAATGGGGCCAATACTTCTTTCTTAGGTTACTACCTAATTACACCATACCTTCACTCTGTTTTTCAAGTAAACATTTTTTGATGTCACTTAGGGCTTTCAATTTTCAATGCCATTCAATAATGCCACAACTGTGCTCACTTGTATAAGAAGTTAGTTTTCTTTTTTTTTTTATTTATTATTATTATACTTTAAGTTTTAGGGTACATGTGCACAATGTGCAGGTTGGTTACATATGCATACATGTGCCATGCTGGTGCGCTGCACCCACTAACTCGTCATCTAGCATTACGTATATCTCCCAGTGCTTTCCCTCCCCCCCTCCCCCCACCCCCACAACAGTCCCCAGAGTGTGATGTTCCCCTTCCTGTGTCCATGTGTTCTCATTGTTCAATTCCCACCTATGAGTGAGAATATGCAGTGTTTGGTTTTTTGTTCTTGCGATGGTTTACTGAGAATGATGATTTCCAATTTCATCCGCGTCCCTACAAAGGACATGAACTCATCATTTTTTATGGCTGCATAGTATTCCATGGTGTATATGTGCCACATTTTCTTAATCCAGTCTATCATTGTTGGACATTTGGGTTGGTTCCAAGTCTTTGCTATTGTGAATAATGCCGCAAGAAACATACGTGTGCATGTGTCTTTATAGCAGCATGATTTATAGTCCTTTGGGTATATACCCAGTAATGGGATGGCTGGGTCAAATGGTATTTCTAGTTCTAGATCCCTGAGGAATCGCCACACTGACTTCCACAATGGTTGAACTAGTTTACAGTCCCACCAACAGTGTAAAAGTGTTCCTATTTCTCCACATCCTCTCCAGCACCTGTTGTCTCCTGACTTTTTAATGATTGCCATTCTAACTGGTGTGAGATGGTATCTCACTGTGGTTTTGATTTGCATTTCTCTGATGGCCAGTGATGGTGAGCATTGTTTCATGTGCTTTTGGCTGCATAAATGTCTTCTTCTGAGAAGTGTCTGTTCATGTCCTTCGCCCACTTTTTGATGGGGTTGTTTGTTTTTTTCTTGTAAATTTGTTTGAGTCCATTGTAGATTCTGGATATTAGCCCTCTGTCAGATGAGTAGGTTGTGAAAATTTTCTCCCATTTTGTAGGTTGCCTGTTCACTCTAATGGTAGTTTCTTTTGCTGTGCAGAAGCTCTTTAGTTGAATTAGATCCCATTTGTCAATTTTGGCTTTTGTTGCCATTGCTTTTGGTGTTTTAGACCTGAAGTCCTTGCCCATGCCTATGTCCTGAATGGTAAAAATACCTAGGAATCCAACTTACAAGGGATGTGAAGGACCTCTTCAAGGAGAACTACAAACCACTGCTCAAGGAAATAAAAGAGGATACAAACAAATGGAAGAACATTCCATGCTCATGGGTAGGAAGAATCAATATCGTGAAAATGGCCATACTGCCCAAGGTAATTTACAGATTCAATACCATCCCCATCAAGCTACCAATGACTTTCTTCACAGAATTGGAAAAAACTACTTTAAAGTTCATATGGAACCAAAAAAGAGCCCGCATCGCCAAGTCAATCCTAAGCCAAAAGAACAAAGCTGGAGGCATCACACTACCTGACTTCAAACTATACTACAAGGCTACAGTAACCAAAACAGCATGGTACTGGTACCAAAACAGAGATATAGATCAATGGAACAGAACAGAGCCCTCAGAAATAATGCCGCATATCTACAACTATCTGATCTTTGACAAACCTGAGAAAAACAAGCAATGGGGAAAGGATTCCCTATTTAATAAACGGTGCTGGGAAAACTGGCTAGCCATATGTAGAAAGCTGAAACTGGATCTCTTCCTTACACCTTACACAAAAATCAATTCAAGGTGGATTAAAGACTTTAACGTTAGACCTAAAACCATAAAAACCCTAGAAGAAAAGAAGTTAGTTTTCTTACAATATTCCTACTCCCTTTTCCTGGAAGCTCTCGAACCTACCAAGTCCCCCTTCTTTTCACCTCCAGCACCTTCCTGACTTCCTATGAGTAGTATAACACTGCTTCCCCATCCCTGTAATGCAGGTCAGAGCACAGCAAGGACAGAGGCCCCGAGGAATAAGTGGCAGAAAAAATTAGCCACTTGTCAGGCTAGAAAAGGTTACAGGTGGGAATTTGGTGACCTGATGTGGGGAGAAGCACACATGCATATGTGTTTATATATTCTTCCACAGCCTGTTTATCAAACGCAAGTTTTTAAAGAATTATTACAGTTTAAATAATGCTAAGTCTCTTCCCCTTCTTAGAGCCAAAGCATCAAAAGTAAGTTTAAACACACTAGTTCCGTTTTCCTTATTAATTACTTTTAACAGTTATCTCCACAATGTTAGGTTTCACTATTAAGCATTTTCTTTTCCCTCTTTCATTTTTTAATAATAGTTTGTTGTCGGGTTTTCCAACTTGCCCATTTTGAGTTCTCAATTTTCAGTTCATAGACGTGAGACCTTCATATGTGCCCTCATACTTTTTATTAAACAATTTGGTTTTGGCTCTGAGAATGCTCCTGCTTATTTGTGCCAGGGGAATGGCCAACGGATATTATAACTGATCGGAGGGGACATGGGGGGCCTGCTATCGAAAGTTATTTTTTTTCTCTCTTTGTTCCTGCTTCCAATTTAAGTTTGGAGACATTTTGCCATATTATGTTTGTTTGCTCACTGAATTATTCTTAAAGGCTTAGTTTTGCTTTTCCAATACTGTAGATAAAATTTAAAAAAAAAAAAAAACACAGATGACCTAAATGTTGGCCTTCTTCATCTTGATTTCTGGATTTAAAGTTACTCCCAATCTTATTCCTTTCATAAATTATTGCTTTTTGAACCATTGGCTATTTTATGAAAATTACTCAAGAGAATTAAGAGATTAAAGTAATTTTATATTTTATTAAATGGAAAGAAATTTGATAGTACTGATGGTAGAAAAATTATCAGGGTAGCAAGTTGTCACTTTGATTTCAAAGCACTATCCTTGCAAAGCAGTACAAATAATTAATTAACTTTCCCAGTTTTTAGTGAAATGAAGGATACCTGAGCTTAAGCAGTTTAACTCCTCAGAAAAGGATCCTGCTGTAGGGTCAAGAGAACAGGGGAAGTGACAAAGGCCTCCCTGGGATGGGCTGTACAAAGTACCACAAACTGGTGGCTTAAAACAACAAACATTTGCTTTCTCACAGCTCTGGAGGCTAGAAATTGGAAATCAAGGAGTTGGCAGAGCCGTGCTCTCTCTTTAGGCTGTTGCCTCCTCCTAGATTCTGGTTGTTGCCAACTTGGAAACTTATTACTCCAGTCTCTGCTTCTGTCTTTACACAGCCTTCTCCCCTGTGTGTCTGGGTCTCTGTGGCCAAATTTCCCTCTTCTTATAAAGATACCAGTCGTATTGGATTTAGGACTCACCCTAATCCAGCATGACTTCATCTTAATTTGACTACATCTGCAAAGATCCCATTTCCAAATAAGGTTGCATTCACAGGTTCCAGGTGGACATGAATTTGGGGAGACATTATTCAACTCAATACAGTTGGAGAAGCAGGAAGAGGTAGGAGAAACGCAGCCCCACAGCTGTCTCATCTAACCTGAAGACAGCTCACACAGGAGAACAGCTGAGGTAGGACAGAGCTGATGGCCAGTGATTTAGAAGCTGTTCCAACCTGGGGACAATAGGCCAGATTCTCAGGGCTACTGCTGGAAGCCAAAAGGGCTTTACCCAAGAATGAGGCAGAGGGTACTAACAGCTTTGAGAGAAGGCTGCACGGTAGTACAATCACTGCTTTTTATCCATGGAGCCTGGATATGGTGAGATTGAAAACTTTACTGAGGTCATTCTGCTTGCCAAAAAGAATATTCAATATTCACTTCTTGGATCAGTACCAGACACACGGCAAACTCACATAGTTAGCAGAGAGGAGGGACAAGAAGGGAAGACAAGGAAGGAAAGAGGGAGGATAGAATCCACTCAGCCTTTTTTATTAATGTAACAAAAGTTTCTTGACATATTTCCCAGAATGAGTCACAATCTCTGCCCTCCTAGTCCTTTCCACTCCAAGTCTGTGAAGGTTTAAAGCTCTTATACTGAATTCCCTCCTTCTCTGTGTCATCTATCAGAACTCCTGCTTCCCATAGCTTGGCATTAATGTCTCAGAAAAAGGAGAAAAGCTGTTGCCTCTGCATCAAGACAGAAGCATACAACAGAACAGCAGAAGGAGGAGAAGCACATCACCTCACTCCACCCCAAAGGCATACACACCTTAGGGAATCTTCCTTAAATATCTCCTCTCCTTCAGTTCCATGAGTTGATCATGTTCTCCCACTGCTGTGTTCCTAATTTTAAGGTTGAAAACTGGCGACCTTAAACTGATGATCATATATATATATGATCACATATATAATGTCTTAACCTAAAATTGTATTTGTTGATTTTACACATCACATAAATGGGGTATCCTTCAAATACTTCTGTATTAAGTGTTTCTTTGGCCAACTAACCATAATAGAATAACAAAATAGACATACCCTCCCACATTAAACAACTAGAAAACCAAACATAAAATATAAAATTGGAGTTTTCAAACACTGAACACAGGCAGCGCAGAACAGTGATCTCTGAGAGAAGAGAAATAAACAAGGTGAGCCTGATAAGTATCCCCGCTAGAGAAAGTTTCTAGGCCACACTACAGGGATAGGATATCCAAACAGAGCCCTGAGTATTACTAACTTGGGGAGACAGAGTTCAGACTTTGGAGAAACAGATTGACAAGAATCTGTGCAGCAGAGTACAAGGGAGGCACTGAAAGAAATAATTCTCAAGATCCTCAGAGGAGCCTTTTGTGAGTCTTTCACTAAGTAGTAAACTGCACATGGACGTGAAGAAACTACTGATACCTAGCAAGAAACAGTAAAAATAAGTATGCAGCACAATCCTCAGAATGCACATAGGGCTAGGAATAGTTCATATTCCCACCAGTGAGAATAGAAAACCATCCTAACATGCACAGCAATGAGTAGTATCCTCAGAAAGTAAATGCCTTAGCTGTGGTCCAAATCAGACCTAGTCTAAACGCTGTTCAGGACTTGCCGTCGCAATTCAACCCTTGAAAGAATCAAACCAATTCCAAGGATCTTAATTGCATTCCAGAAAAAGTCTGAAAATATCTAAATGAAAAAAAAAATCCAGCACTCACAATGTCTGGCTTTCAATTAAAAAATTACCAAGCATGAGAAGAAATAGGTAAATATGACTGAAACAGGAAGGAAAAATCAGCCAATAGAATTGGACCCATAAATATGCAGGTGATAGAATTAGAGACCATGATATAGTTTGGATTTGTGTCTCCACCCAAATCTCATGTTGAATTAGAGGAGGGGCCTGGTGGGAGGTAAACGGATCATGGGGTTGGATTTTCCCCTTGCTGTTCTCATAATAGTGAGTGAGTTCTCATAAGATGTGATGGTTTAGAAGTGTGTGGCACTTCCCCCTTTGCTCGCTCTCTCTCCTGCTCTGTCATTGTGAAGATGTGCCTGCTTCCCTTTCACCTTCCCCCATGACTGTAAGTTTCCTCAGGCCTTCCAGTCATGCTTCCTGGTAAGCCTGCAAACTGTGAGTCAATTAAGCCTCATTTCTTTATAAATTACCCAGTCTCAGGTAGTTCTTTATAGCAGTGTGAGAACAGACTAATATAGAAAATTGGTACCAGGAGAGTGGGGCACTGCTATAAAGATATCTGAAAATGAGGAAGCAACTTTGGAACTGAATAACAAGCAGAAGTTGGAACAGTTTGGAGGGCTCAGAAGAAGATAGGAAGATGTGAGAAAGTTTGGAACTTCCTAGAGACTTGTTGAATGGTTTTTGAATAAAATGGTGATGGTGATATGGACAATGAAGTCCAGGCTGAGGTGTTCTCAGCTGGAGATGAGGTACTTACTGGGAACCAGAGTAAAGATCACTCTTGCTATGCTTTAGCAAAGAGACTGGCAGCATTTTGCCCGTGCCCTAGAGATTATTTAGGGTATCTGGCAAGAGAAGTTTCTAAGCAGCAAAGTATTCAAGAGGTAACTTGGCTGTTTCTAAAATTCTATGCTCATATGCATGAAGGAAGAGATGGTCTGAAATTAAAACTTATATTTAAAAGGGAAGCAGAGCATAAAAATTTGGAAAATTTGCAGCCCAACCATTGCAGTAGAAAAGAAAAACCCATTTTCCACGGAAGAATTCAAGCCAGCTGCAGAAATTTGCATAAGTAATGAGAAGCTGAATGTTAATAACCAAGACAATGGGGAAAAATGTCTCCAGGGTATTTTAGAGATCTTCAGGGCAGCCCGTCCCATGACAGCCCTGGAGCCCTAGGAAGGAAAAATGGTTCTGTGGGCCAGGCCCAGGGCCCCACTGCTCTGTCCAGCCTCAGGACATGGCACCCTGTGTCCCAGCTGCTCCAGCTGTGGCTAAAAGGGGCCATGGTACAGCTAGGGCCACGGCTTCAGAGGGTGCAAATCCCAAGCCTTGGCAGCTTCCATGTGGTATTGGGCCTGCAGGTGTGCAGAAGGCAAGAATTGAGGTTTGGGAACCTACACCTAGATTTCAGAGGATGTATGGAAATGCCTATATGTCCAGGCAGAAGTCTGCTGCAGGGGTGGAGCCCTCATGGAGAGCCTCTACTAGGGCAGTGCAGAGGGAAAATGTGGGGTTGGAGCCCCTACACAGAGTCCCCACTGGAGCACTGTCAAGTGGACCTGTGAGAAAAGGGCCACTGTCCTCCATACATCAGAAAGGTAGATCCACCAAGAGCTTGCACCATGCACCTGGAAAAGCTGTAGGCACTCAAAACCAGCCGGGGAAAGCAGCCATGGGAGCTGTATCCTGCAGAGCCACAGAGGCGGAGCTGCCCAAACCCATGGGAGCCCACCCCTTGCATCAGCATGCCCAGGATATGAGACATGGAGTCAAAGGAGATTATTTTGGAGCTTTAAGATTTAATGACTGCCCTGCTGGGTTTCAGACTTGCATGGGGACTGTAGCCCCTTTGTTTTGGCCAATGTCTCCCATTTAGAATGGGAGCATTTACCCAATGCCTGTATACCCATTGCATCTTAGAAGTAATTAGTTTTTTATTTTACAAGCTCATAGGCAGAAGGGACTTACCTTGTCTCAGATGAGACTTTGGACTCTGGACTTTTGAATTAATGTTGAAATGAATTAAGACTTGGGGACTGTTGAAAAGAGATAATGGTATTTTGCAATGTGAGAAGGACATGAGATTTGAGAGGGGCCAAGGTGGAATGATACGGTTTAGATTTGTATCCCCGCCCAAATCTCATGTCGAATTGTAGGAGGGGCCTGGTAAGAGGTGATTAGATCATGAGGGCAGATCTCTCCATTGCTTTTCTTGTGATAGTGAGTGAATTCTCACAAAATCTGATGGTTTAAAAGTGTGTGGCAGTTCCCCCTTTACTCTTGCTCTCTCTCTCTCTCCTGCTGCACTATTGTGAAGATGTGCATGCTTCCCCCTCACCTTCTGCCATGACTGTCAGTTTCCTGAGGCCTCCCAGTCATGCTTCTTGATAAGCCTGCAGAACTGTGAGTCAATTAAACCTCTTTTCTTTATAAATTACCCAGTCTCAGGTAGTTCTTTACAGCAGTGTGATGAATGGACTAATACAGACCAGGACATGAAAATAGCTATCATAAATATACTCTTACATGTTCCAGAAAGTAGAAGAAAGCATGAGAATAATGAGCAGAAAAATAGAAGATATTAAAAAGACCCTAATCAAACTTCTAAAGATAAAAAAAAATACAATATCTAAACTGAAAAATATACTGGATATAATTAACAGGAGATTAGGGACTGCAGAAGGTAAACTTAGTGAATTCAGCAATAGAAACTATCCGAAATGAAACAGACCAAAAAAAAAACTGAAAAAATCAATAGAGCATAGTGAGCTGTGAGACATAAGTGGCCTAAAAAAACATGTAATTGGAGTTCTAAGTATCATTTCTTATTTTATCAAACTTTAAGCACATCAAAGATTTCTAGAGCTCATTTACCTGAAGCAATTCAGCTGTATTTTCATATTTGTAATAAGTATTCATAAAAATAAATGTGTTTTACATACTATATGTTTAGATCTATTTCTGTATCTTTTTAGGAGCCTTTTTCTATTTTCTTAATTTTGAGCATTTAACGCTCTTATTACCTAAGTACTCTAAGGTCTTTTATACTTGAAATATACCAAAGTTTGTTCCCAATTTTCAGGTATCACTGTTTTGACAAGAGGTAAATATGTCACAAATATCTCAAAAACCTAGTTATTTTATATGAATCCTAAACCCATTCATTTATCCAAAAATACTTATTGAATGCTTATTATGTTTTATGTACTAGTGAAACCACTAGTGAGCAAGATACATAAAATCTCTGCCCTGGCAAGATTATATTCTGATATGGGAAACAGCAAATAAATACATAAACAATAAAACATATTTAAACTATAGTAACTTTTACAATGAAAACAACACGAACAGAACATAGTCTCTGCCCTCATAAAACATGAGAGGAATGAAGGAAGATAGATAATAAGTAAAGTTGAAGTTATATAATATTATGTCATAGTGATAAGTGCACTGAAGATTAAAATAGAATAGCTACTGGAAAGGTATAGAAAGCAGTCTTTTCATATAAATAACCTGAAAAACCCTCTCATAAGTCTTGACATTTGAATAAAACAAAGGCATCTAAATAAAGTAAAAATGCAAGCAACACCACGATCTAAGAGAAAGGAATTCTGGACAGAAAATAACTTTGCAAAGGTCCTGTGGCAGGAATGAGTTTGGTGTACATGAAGAACAAAAAAGCCAATAGAGCCAGATCATCTAGGGACTTGTTGGCCATGACAAGGGGTTTATATTTCTATCCATTTGATTGTAATGATTTATGCTGAAATTATTCTAAATTAGAATACTAGGTCATAAAACACTTATTGCTTTTTTCTTCAACAAGTAAAATCACAGTGGAAAAAAATCTGTAATTTAATCACACAAAGAGAAGCCTGATTAAACTGTAATGTATTTTCCTCTAGTGCATTTTTAATTCTTAGGAATTGTTTAAGTCATACTATAAATACAACTTTGTAATCTATTTTTTTAAAATAAGTTTTTCACAAATAATGTGTATCCTTGCCAATAGTTTTTCCCCTGAGAATTCAAACAGTACAATTTTTAGTCAAATATTGATATTTTTAACATTTATGATTTATAGTGCCAAGATCTTTTCAAAATCTGCCTTTCAATGCCACCAGTAATGCATGAGAATGCCTGTTTCACTGCACCTATGCCAGGACTGGTTTTTATCATTCTGGTTGTTTTATAAATCTATACAGTTTGTTTTTATTCTTTGCTAATTTGATGTATCAAAAGCTGTATTTCAATGTTGCCTTTATTTTGTATTTCTGTTATTAATAACTGTAGCAAATTAAAGATGGCAACAAGTTCTGTGACACTCCTCCCATCAAGAGGAGAGGGTTTTATTTCCCCTCCCCCTGAAAATGGGCTAGCCTGTGACTACTTCAGCTAATCCCAGGGGAATGACCCTCTGCCAGTTCCAGGCCTAGCCTTAAAGAGGACCAGATGTTTCTGGATTCGTGTTTGGAGCCCTGAGAAGCTATGTAGGAAGTCCAACTCTCCTGCTGAAGAGACCACATAAACAGGCCCCACGACCCCATAAGATCCCAGTATACCCTTAACAGTTGTCCTGTCAAGCACCAGGCATGTTAGTGAAGCCATCTTAGGCCCTCCAAACCAGCCCAGCTGCCAAGTGAACACTACCAAGTGATCCCAGGTAACACTACATAAAGCAGAAGAATTGCCCAGCAAAGCCCTGGCTGAAGTCCTGACCAAAAAAATCATGAGATATAACTAATTTAATTGTTGTTTCATGAGGCTAGTTTTGGGATAGTTTGTTACAAAGCAAGACATAGCTGAAACATGAATTGCATACTTTCTTCTGTGAATTATCTGCTTTGCAATACACTTGGGTGTTAATGTTTTTTACTAATATATTTAAGTTTCTATAGAATCAAGACACTAATCTTTATCTTGCATACTTTTTAACAAGTATTTCCTAATGCGTATTTCCCCTTTAATTTTTATTACAGTTTGATTACAACCGTAATTGTATGCTACATTTTAAGTGATTTTTACCATTTCATTTCAAAGTTTAAGAAAATCTTCTTCAAAGACAATAATATTCATTTCTATTTTCTTATAGTATTTCTGAAATGTATAATAAATCTGTATAAATGGATTAAACTTTAATCCATTTTGAATGAATTTTGCTTATAGTTTATCAGAGAAAAAAAATCTTATCAATATTTCCAACTTCTCTCTTCTTAATTCCCTGCTTCTCTCCTATTTTTATGACAAAGCAGAAATAAAGTGACTCATGGAATGAATGATATTGCTAATCTATGTAACATTCTATCCCTAAATACAAAGAAATAAATGTCCCCTTTTCTGAGTATGACTAACTTTTTCCCAAAGCTTGAAGGGTGTTTGTTTCCTGGGAACTAAAAGGGGGCCAGGCACGGTGGCTCATGCCTGTAATCCTAGCACTTTGGGAGGCCAAGGTGGGAGGACTGCTTGAGGCCAGGAGTTCAAGACAAGCCTGGGCAAATAGTGAGACTCCATCTCTACAAAAAATTTAAAAATCAGCCAGGCATAGTGGCACATGCCATAGTCCCAGCTACTCACGAGGCTGAGGTAGGAGGATCACTTAAGCCCAAGAGTCTGAGGTTACAGTGAGCTATGATCATGCCACAGCACTCCAGCCTGGGCGACAGAGCAAGATTCAGTCTAAATTAATTAATTAAACAATATCACTTATATAGGAAGAGAGTACATCATAATTGAAATAAAAAGCTAAAAATCCAGTCAAACATATTTTAACATGACATTAGGCTCTACTTAAGACATTAGAAAGCTTTTTGTGAAGGACCTAGGCTCTCACAACTTTGAGAGACAGTATGGGAGCAACAACAAAAGCTTGCTACAATGTTAGAATATAGCTTCTGCTCGGAAGAGCTTAGAAAGAGAGAACTGGCCAGGGGAGCGCATATCAAGAGTGTGAAGAATCCCAGTGTATTGGACACCTCTTGAGCACCATTCCAAAACCTTTCAATTCTACCTTTTACTCTAGCCACAGCTCCCACTACCATTCCATGGAGGCTTTAACCAGCTTCACACATGTGCAACTGGTCAACCCTCACACTGTGACCCTGCCATTCTGGCTGTGGAATTCCACACTTAACTCCGCACTCATACAGTACATGTGCATAATCTGGAACTGCAGGTAGTAAACACTATGGGGCCACCTTTGATCTATAAGCAAAGGAAACCAATGGATAAATGCTCTCTCCCTTTCATCTCATGAATGGACTGCCTTATTTCATGAGTCTCCTCAGAAGATTCTAGAAGAATTAAGAACCAGGCACCAGTAGGGACTCAATAACACATATTTATAAGTGACTCTTCCTCCTCTGCTTTACTCTCCCTGTCTTGTATTCTTGGCTCATGAAATTATTTTCCAAAATAAATATCATCACACTAACCTTTATCTCAGGCTCTAGAGGAAACTCAGGCTAAGACAATCTTTATCTTGAAAATACATCACTGTTGTTACTTAGGTTAGCCAGAATCTATTGCTTTGGCAATCAAAAGCAATCTTACTAAATAAAGACTAAAAAGAAAGAAAAATAAAAACTATATTTAAAAATAAGAGAAATGTAGCAGAAAAAATCTTAAATGAGATAATATCAAGTTGAATCCACAAATGAATAATGCATTCATTATCAAGAAAGAGTTACAATAGAAATGCAAGGATGGTTCAACATTAGAAAATCTGTCAATGTAATCACTACATTAATGAATTAAAAGAAAAAGTCCATATAATTACACTGATAGATGTTAAAACTTTGAATAGAATTCAACACTCAATCTCAAATTTTTGAAGCTCTGAAAAAACCTATAAGACATTTCTCTTAATCTGATGAAAAGAATCTAATAAAAATACATACTTAATGATTAAATATTATAAACATTTCCATTAAAGCAAAGAAAAATAGAAGAATGCTCACTATCATGACTACAGTTCAACATTAGACATAAAAAGTAAATGGGGCCGGGCGCGGTGGCTCACGCCTGTAATCCCAGCACTTTGGGAGGCCGAGGCGGGCGGATCACGAGGTCAGGAGATCGAGACCATCCCGGCTAAAACGGTGAAACCCCGTCTCTACTAAAAATACAAAAAATTAGCCGGGCGTAGTGGCGGGCGCCTGTAGTCCCAGCTACTTGGGAGGCTGAGGCAGGAGAATGGCGTGAACCCGGGAGGCGGAGCTTGCAGTGAGCCGAGATCCCGCCACTGCACTCCAGCCTGGGCGACAGAGCGAGACTCCGTCTCAAAAAAAAAAAAAAAAAAAAAAAAAAAAAAAGTAAATGAGATCTTATTACAAAAAGTGATAAAACTGCAGATGATTTATTCACCTAAATAATCTAAGGGACTCAACTGAATTTTTTTTTTTTTTTTTTTTTTTTTTGAGACAGAGTCTCATTCTGTTGCCAGGCTGGAGTGCAGTGACATGATCTCGGCTCACTGGAACCTCCGACTCCCTGGTTCAAGTGATTCTCCCGCCTCAGCCTCCCAAGCAGCTGGAATTACAGGCACACACCACCACGCCCAGCTAATTTTTGTATTTTTAGTACAGACGGGGTTTCACCATGTTGGCCAGGATGGTCTCGATCTCTTGACCGTGTGATGTGCCGGCCTCTGCCTTCCATAGTGCTGGGATTACAGATGTGAGCCACCACACCTGGCCTTCAATTGAAAAATTAATAGAATAATTAAGAGAGTTATATGTCAAATATCCAGGAAAATACCTAATATCAAGAAAACTGCACAACTTTACTGTAGAATACGGAAAAAATCCCAACAAGTTTTTTATAAAACTTGTAAAGTAATTCTAAAATGTATCTGAAAAAGAAAATGCACAGGAGTAAAGACAATTTAAAAATGTAGAATTAACAGATATAAAAATCAACTAAAGTGCATTTGTAAAAAAAAATTTCTTTTTTGAAATGGAGTCTGACTCTTGTCACCCAGGCCAGAGTGCAATGGCACAATCTCAGCTCACTGCAACCTCCGCCTCCTGGGTTCAAGCAATTCTCCTGCCTCAGCCTCCCGAGTAGCTGGGATTACAGGTGCCTGCCACTATGCCCGGCTAATTTTTGTATTTTTAGTAGAGATGGGGTTTCATCATGTTGGCCAGGCTAATCTCGAACTCCTGACATCAGGTGATCTGCCCGCCTCAGCCTCCCAAAGTTCTAGGATTACATGCATGCGCCACTGTGCCTGACTCATTCATAAAAATTAAAACATGTTATTGTGACAGAGAAGAAAACAGATCAGGAAATTAGAAAACAGACTCTAGAAAACAGGGCCATATATGTTAGAAGTTAATATATGATAAATTGGGGATTTGGGGTCAGAGATGAACAAACAGATGGGTCAGTAATCAGTATGAAGTCATTTGGCTCACCATTAAATAAAATAAATAAGCTACACTACCACATCACAAAACCCCCCAAAATAAGTTCCAAGTGGGTTGAAACCCTAAATACAAAAATTAAAATTATAAAGGTGTAGGGGAAAATACAAAAGAATATTTTCCAATTTTGAAGTTGTAAAAGATTTCCTGAGCAAAACACCAACCCAAAGCCACTGAGCAAAAGACTGGAAGATTTATTAAAACTTAAAAACTTCTATATGACAAATGATACTGTTAACAATGTTAAAAGAAAAGTGACAGACTGGGGAAAATATTTGCAATACCTATAGAAAATGAAGAATACTATAATAATATATTTTACTCTTTTATATATTATTATATAGGATTATATATTTTTATATTATTATATAATATATAATCATATATGTTATTTTTACAAATCAATATTTAAAAATAAACTCACAATAAAACAAAGGACATAAACAATAAATGCCTAAAAGAAATACCAATGACCAATACGCATATAAAAATATGCTCAACATTAGTATTAATAAGGAAAATGCAAATCTAAAAATATGTAACTTTTCATCTTTTAGAATAAAAAAATTTAGAAATCAGCAATATCCAATTTTATAGAGCATATGAGAAAAATGAGCATATTCATTTATTTTTGATAGGAGTATAAATTAGTACAGTCTGTTTGGAGGGAAATGCTCTCCAATTTCTCACTCGTTCATTCACTCATTCAATAAATATTATTGAGCACTTACTTCATGCAATGTGCTGTGCTAGGTCCTAAGAATACAGCAGTGAACAAAACAGACAAGTTCTTGCCTTCATGGAGCTTACATTCTGGAGGGCAGGGTAGAGTGCAGGATGAAGAAGATAAACAACAAACAACTAAATATGTAGAACAAGTGGTTTTAAGTGCAATAAAACTAAATAAATTGGCCAGGTGCAGCAGCTCATGCCTGTAATCCCAGCGCTTTGGGAGGCTGAGGCAGGCGGATTACCTGAGGTCAGGAGTTTGAGACCACCCTGGCCAACATGGTGAAACCCTGTCTCTACTAAAAATGCAAAAATTGGTCAGGCATGGTGGCAGATGCCTGTAATCTCAGCTACTCAGGAGGCTGAAGCAGGGGTATCGCTTGAACCTGGGAGGCTGAGTGAGCCGAGGTCACACCATTGCACTCCAGCCTAAGTGACAGAGAGAGACTCCATCTCAGATAAAAAAATAATAATAATAGATAAACAAATAAATGAATAAATCCGAGTAAGAAAGATTAAAAATGATAGTGTTGAGAAGATGCTATTTTACGTAGGGTGGGCAGGTGTGATCTCACTGATAAGGTGCCATTTGAGCACAGATATGAAGAAAGTAAGGGGGCAAGTCATAAAGCTATCTAGGGGAAGAACACAACAGATAGTGGGAACAGGAAGGGCCGAGGCGCCACAGAAACAGCAGGGATATTAGGATGGCTGGAGCAGAATAAAGGAGTGGGAGAATGATAGAAGACAAAGATTAGAGAAGAAAGACGAGAGGAACCACTGAAGGCCTTGGAAGCCATGGTTAAAGCTTTGATTTTCACTCAGACTAAATAGGAAGTCACCGGAAGGTTTTTAGTAAAAGAGTTATATGACTGAACTCACATTTTAAAAGGATAACTCTAGCTATTGTTTAGAGACCAGATTCTAAGAGGGCATTAATTAGGAAGCCAGGTGAAAAAAGATGACAGCCTGCGCTAAGGTGGTACAATGAAGGTGTTAAAAGTGGTCGAGTATGAATATATGTGGAAGATAGAGTTATTAGGATTTGCTAATGGATCAAACATGGAATGTAAGAGAAAAAGAGTGGTCCAGGGTAACACTGGGTTTTTGTCTTGAGCAATTGGAAGCTAATGATTACTGACATAGGGAAGTATGTGGAAGATACAGGTTGGGGGCTGGGTAGTAAAAATGAGTTAAATTTGTGATGACTGGCAGACATTCAAATGGAATGTCAATTTGGTTGTTGGATACAAAAGCCTGAAGTTCATGATAGGCACTAAAATGCCAGTGCCTATCATGATATGATATATATATACACATACAATATACACATATATACACACAATATATATAGTGTATATTTTATATATGTATATATATAGTACATATATACATATATACTATATACATGTATGTATATATACTATATATGTATATATACATATACATAGTACACATACATATACACATATAGTATATATACATAGTACATATATACATCTATAAATATGTTTATAGATACACATATATAGTACATCTATACCTATGTATAGATATACATATAGTACAGATATATACATATGTGTATCTATACACATATAGTACAAACATACACGTATATATACACACATATGTGTGTGTGTGTGTGTGTGTGTGTGTGTGTTTGTATAGTATTTACAGCCAAGTAACTGAATAAGATCTACAAGGTGAGTCTAATTGGAGAAGAGAAGTTCAAAAATTGAGCAGTGATGCACTCCAATGTCTAGTTGTTGGAAGATGAAGAGAACCAGCAGAGGAAGCCAAAAAGGGACAGTCACTGGGGCAGGCGGAAAACCAAGAGGGCAGCATCCCAGATGCCAAGCGAAGGGTGCTTCAAGAAGGGAGCAATATAGCCAGGTGTGGTGGTGTGCACCTGTAATCCCAGCTACTCAGGAGGCTGAGGCAGGAGAATCACTTGAACCCAGAAGGTGGAGGTTGCAGTGAACCGAGATCGTGCCACTGCACTCCAGCTTGGGCAATAAGAGCAAAACTCTGACTCAAAAAAAAAAAAAAAGAAGAAGAAGAAAGGAGCAATAATTGTGCCAATTTTGCATTATCTATCAAAATGTAAACTATCATTCAGCAATTCTATTTTGAACCGTCTACTCCCCTAGAAATATATATGTACATATAAAAATTGTATTGCATTGATATTTATTAAATTATCTTTTGTAATAGCAAATTAAATGCCCATCAATAAGGGAATGTTTATATTATGGTGCATCTGAACAAGAGAATAAAATACAACAATTTTAAAAAGCTGGTAGAAGAAAGTTGCTGATATAGAATGACTTCTTAAATATTAAATGAAAAAAGGCTACTTGAAGAATGATCATTCTATATGTATATGTTACCACTAAAGCAGGCAGGATAGTATGGTTAGAAAATGCATGAGCTCCATCCCAAACAGATTTCCTGGCATATAAATTTCGCGTGCCACTTTGGACAAGTTTCTAAACTCCTCTTGGCCTTCCTTTCTCAAAATCCCTCAAAGGGATTAGATGAATTAATATATTAAAAAGGTGTGAACAATGTCTGGCACATAGCAATCACTAAATAAGTATTAGCCATTAATAATGTCTTAATAGTATATATTATAATATATAATAACAATATATATAAAGGCATAGGAAGAAGTTTTGAAGTCAAATCCCAAACTGTTAACACTGGTAATCTCTGAGGAGGAGTTTGAGATTGGGAGTTAGCAGACAGGGTGAAAGGTGACAGAAAGATACTTAAACAGTTTATCATATATATTTCTATATTGCTTGAATTTTTAATAATATATGAATGCAAATTTTTGTAAAAGCATATGTGCTTTCCTTATGAAATTTTTAACCTTTTTTTAATTGAGAGAGGAAAAAGAACAGTAAAAGTTTATGGATTTGAATGGCTATTCATGGCAATTTTTAGTCAATGACCTATAGTTCAACTGACACCAAAAAGATCAATCAAAGAATTGGAATATTGTGAAGCAGGCAATATAACATTTTCTAGCAATTTCAAGAAAAACACACAGATATATAACAATAAAAATAGAAAAGACAGAAAAGAGCCTGAATAAAATGAAAGAAAGGGAAGAATGAAACTGAGCACAGATATATAAACTCTGAGTCTAACCATTCAGGCAAATCAAAAACCATATCTATCACACCTGAGACAGGCAGTCAACCATCATCTCCTTACACGTTTCCAGGGGCAAACAGCATATATTTGTCAGTTACACCTTATACTAACCAGAGTCTCTCATTGGTCCTACTTGTCTCATCTGAAGCAACATAGAATTAAGTCTTCTCTTTCTTCACCAAGACAGACTTTTGGCTACATACTCTGGTCCCACTACCTTGTCTGGGCAGGCCCAGCCCTGCCAGCGTAGGCAAAGAGAGCATTCCAAGCAGCAGGCTGCTATAGTTGCTCCAAATCTAAGCCAAAATACAGCTCAGATTCTTTCCATACAGTGTTGCCAACAGGTAGAATAGTTAGCACAATTTGGAGGTACAAGTAGCATGACTTCTGACTGACTACATTCTGCTGGAGAAACAACAGGTATCATCAGCAGGACACAAATGCAAGAGTGTGCTTTATGCAGACTCAACTTAACCCTTTTATGTGTAACTCAAAGCCCTTCTTTTACCACCTCTTTCTTTGTCTTCAGTACAAATCCATCACCAGCTCTTCGCAGACCTTCCCAAGGTGGAGCTCACTACTCCATGTATGCCTCTGACTCTAATTACTATTTACTGCATTTGCATGTGTTTTTTCACATTATAATGTCATTAGCATGCAAGGGAGCCCCGTTGCCAGGGCAACCAGGAGTGGTGAATGCAGGCACAGCCTTTAATGAAAACTTAACCCTACTTTGTTTAATTCCCACTGTGTTTTTTTGGCTCACTTCACCTCTGTGGCCCCAAGAATGGAAACATCCTACAGTTACCCTTCTTATCTGGTGTTGCTCCAAGGTCTTGATAACCTATGTGTGTTGCTCTGGATACACTAGCAACACATTTTTTTTTATAATTAACCTTGATAAATTTGCTCCCAATATAATAAATTTTCCTTCTGATCAACACTGCTCATTCAACACAGTCCTTCGAATATCTAAAATAGTCTATTTTTCTCCACATTCAATATTGTCAGGTTCTTCAAATTTGATATGATTTCTGGAGTCCTTACTCACATGACTGCCCACCTCTGAAAGCATTCTAAATGATTTGGTTGAGATCAAACTCACCACTTCTATAGCATGCTGCCCATCTGGTAATTCTCTCAAAAAATAAAAATAAAATAAGAAGTTAGTTTTGACCAACCTACAAAGGAATGTTGTTTATCAAAGCTGGGTATAAAACGATGATGATAATAATAATAATAATGATTGTGAGGTAAACAATTTAAGATTTAATTTTTTAAAAAGTCACAAGCAAAAATGAGATGATACCTATCATGAATAAAAATAAAAACCTAAATGTAGGCTAAAAAATATCCAACTACACAAAAACAGGAGCTCTTGCTTAACAGTAACACACAATTTTAAGACACAAGAGCTACAGATGCTATCAAGTTCAACAAGAGCCCAAATGTGACAGGCTGTCACGTAGGGATTATATAGAATTTAGTTGGTAATTGTTATACTTGCAGGAAAAGGTAAGGAGAGCAAGGTCAATAGTACTGCAGAACTGTTTTAAGAAAGGAAATCTTGTATGAACCAGCAACTAATGATCACCAAAATAATATATTATTTTCTGGTATCACTATCTTTTGCCATATGAGGAAAGACAGAATCAGTGGGGCCAATGAGAAGTTAGCAAAACTGAGGAGTAAGAAGTTACTAGGAAATGAGTTCCCACTTTTGATGTGGCAGACATGGAGAAGCGGACAAGTAAGAATGTTATTGTTCAATAAAATCATTTGCAATGATAGAACTGTTCTTTGTGCTGTCCAAAATGTAGGTAGTAGCCACTTGAAATGTGGCTAATCCAACTAGGGAGCAAAATTTTTTATTTTATTTTATTTTACTTAATTTAAATTTCAGTTTGAATAACCACATGTGGCTAGTGGCTACCATATTCTTAAGCACAGCTACATAGATGATGGGCTGCTGCAGACTAAATATTCTCCCAGAACATTTTAAGATCAGACCATATTCTTCAGCTTTCCCACAAACAACTGCGATGAAGCCCAGAAACACCCAAGTCACAGTCCGTGAAGAGGCCCTACTGTATGTAGCATCCATTGTAGGCCACATCCTACACAGAAGAAGCCTCAGGCCATAAGAACAGCCTGCCTTGAGACCAGTGGTGGGAATTTAGAAGGAGACTGGTGGTTAGTGTCACTACAGACTTCACAGACTCTAAGGACAAACTGCCTGAGTTGATATCCAACTCTGCCACCAATACATGTGACCTTAGTTTCCTCATCTATAAATTGGTACTATTACTAACCAATGTGAATTATAATTGGTACTATTACTAACCAAGGTGAAGATAAGCTCAGAGAATATAGGCAAATAGATCCTAGTACAAAGTAATTGCTAGTGAGTATTTTTTCACAAAAAATAGGTTCCAAGAGTTAACTTACTTTGATCTATACCCATGAGTGAGATATAAAATGTTAGTATAATTTATTTCTCCTTCCAGGCCTTTATTCTTCCACATAATTCAGAAGCCATCTGAACAGCTATTGGCTTAGTCCAGCTTAGTCTGGTTCGTCATGCTGCAACATCTACCCATCATGCCACTACTGCTGACCCTTATCCCCCACATCAGTAAGTCATAAGACACAGACAAGTTATACTCTCCCAGTCCTTGTTTTTTATTCCATTCTCTGAATTTTCTTAAGCTGCTGAATTTGGGACCTGTCATAATTGACATTCTTGACTCAGCCTTCTGGTTGTCATATGATTCAGTCCAATGTTTTCTAACCCTTTTCCCATCATGACATACATAGAAATTCATATTTGAATAATAGGGTAAACTGGAGGGGATTTTGTGGTGTTTATATGAAACTTTGTATAAAACCTTAAATACATTTTCTTTATATTGTATAATTATTACATTCAATCCCCATTCCTATCTCAGCTCTAGGCAACCACTAATCTACTTTCTGTCTCTGTAGAGAATATTTATCACTTTTCTCCAAATGATGGAAATGCCTTTCTCATCATTAACCAGAATTTGGATAATTCAAACTTAAATTGTACTCTACAAGTGCCATCATTCAGTAAATCAAATAGATCTTCCTTTATTTTCATGGACAAATGTGATTTGAAAATTTCTTATGACAATATGAATAAATTGTGAATACAATTGAAATCATACATTTCAAACCAATAATGTATCTCTTCCTTACGTATACAAATGTTGCTCTACTTGTCTTAATAATTATTCTTTTCTATTCAGTGACACAGCCTAACCACAATTGTATCATTTTTAACCTCACATTTCCAAGATCAAATGTTTGCCTTAATTTCTGAATCCATAAACTTTATCAATACATATGAATATATTATTGAAAGGTCCTGGTGATTTTCTATTAGGTTTATTTATTCATCTAATTAAACTAATTTTCAAGCCAAGAACTACCTTTCAACAAATACTCAAAGTAAGAACTGTCTACCAAAAAAGTTCCAGTTCTCCTTCTAGTTCCCAAACTTTTGACAAAACTTTTCCTCGGACATCTACTGCACTTTAGTATGAAACAGTGCAAAGTTGTATACATAAAACTGAAAACAGACATAAGTGAAGCAGCCTCAGTTGCAGTAGATTCTCCATTTAGACACATCAGAGTGTGGAACTCTTACACAGGAAAAGTATATTACACAAGAGTTTCTCTGTCAATAAAACATTGAATTATTTGAATCCTATTCAATGTCTTCACAATACCCTTGATGTGAAGCCATTATGCCTTTTTTTGCAGTCACCCATCAGTGTACAAACTCAAGCCTGGTTCCATACTTTATTTGTTTCAAAGTATGAATTTACCACCTTCAATATTTCATCCCCAGTAATTTGTTTTGGTACTTCTTTACAAAGAACTGATATTTTTCCAAGAATTTCTCTTTAGGAATCATAACTCATACAGCAATTCAGCATTTTCTAATGTGTATAGATTCATCAATCTGAAATAAAACCTGACTCATTTGATAATAATCTGGATTAATGCTATCTTTATCCCATCCAATATAACGTCAATACATTCACTAGTATTGAGAGTACCACTTCTTCCTTTTCTTTATTGGCCTCAAACAATTTTCACACTAGGTGGTAAAATGAGGGCTTCTATCCTTGTTTGAGACAGTTTGGCTTTAGCTTTTAATGGTGTGACCTTGTAACTGGTTTATTTAGCTTAATCTAACATTGTTGGAACCAATCTCAAAAAGAGCTTTGGTTTTTCTTGTTGCTTTGCAGAACCTTAAAATGTTCAAATCTTTTCCTGCTGAGTTTTTGTAGTGAGGTGCCAGTGCAGTTTGCTTGGCACCTTGTCTTCAACTCGTAACTTTTCCTTGCCAGTAAGGCATTTAGGCTGAGGAAAAAAAAAGAGCTACTGAGCACATACATCCAAATTTGAGACGATTGTCATTTCATTACCTAACTAGTGACTAACTTTTTTGATACTGTGTTTGTTTTGTGAATATGCTGGCTTTGTAGCTTTAATGAAAAGTTATTCAATAAGATTGAAAAGTAAGAACAATATCTGTAAAAAAATAAGTATTTTTTAAGTGTAAGGAACTAATGGGGACTATAGGCTTTTTCAACTACATAAAATCTATTTATAGAGTTAGGGAACTTTCTGCATTCATTAAAATGTTTTTAAAACAAACTTCATCAAAATTCATAAAAGTAATCATTTATATCTGTTTACTTCAAAAATTAAAACTTTGAAATATTCAAAAATATGTACAATACATATACTCATGTGTGATTTAAAATATTTTGATTAATTGATTTTCTCTTTTTTTTGAGACAGGGTCTCACTCTGTCACCCCAGCTAGAGTGCAGCGGCGCAATCATAGCTTACCACAGCCTCAACATCCTAAGCTCAAGCCATCCTCCCACCTCAGCCTTTTGAGTAACTAGGGCTACAGGCATGCACCACCATGCTCAGGTAATTTTTAATTTTTTTGTAGAGAAGAGGTCACACTACGTTGCCCAGGCTGGTCTGAAATTCCTGGGCTCAAGTGATCCTCCCACCTTGACCTCCCACAGTGCTGGGATTACATGCATGAACCACCATGCCCTGCCAATAAATTTATTTATTTATTTATTTATTTATTTATTTATTTTATTTATTCATTTTTCTGAGATGGAGTCTTGCTCTGTTGCCCAGGCTAGAGTGCAGTGGTGTGATCTCGGCTCACTGCAAACTCCGCCTCCTGGGTTCAAGCGATTCTCCTGCCTCAGCCTCTCGAGTAGCTGGAATTACAGGTACCCACCACCATGCTCGGCTAATTTTTGTATTTTTAGTAGGGACAGGGTTTCACCATCTTGGCCAGGGTGGTCTCGAACTCCTGACCTCATGATCCACCCACCTTGGCCTCCCAAAGTGCTGGGACTACAGGCGTGAGCTACCGCACCCAGCACCAGTAAATTTATTTTCTAACGTAAAAGGCCTTTTAATGAATCAGCTTAATTAAATTTCATTGAATTATTACATGATTTTTAGAAATAAAAGTATTTTTTAATTCCCAAAAACAAATAATAAACCATTATGAAATTCTATCAAGAATGTAACTTTGGCTAATTATTAACACCAAAGGCAAAAACTAAGTCAGTCAAGAAGTAACAAAATCAATGTTTTACTTAGCAACACCTAGTATCAGAAAGTGGTAATAAAAGCAATAAAAATAATTATACATATGTTCTAAGTCAGCAAAACTATAAAATAATAATAGGAAACAAAATAGAAATAAAATACAAATATTGTACATGCATTAAAAAACAAAATTTTAAAAGATGAAAGCAACCCCAATATCCATTAACAGAAGAATGGATAAACAAAATGCGGCACGTATATACAATATTATTCGATCTTAAAAAAGAAGGAAATTCTGATACACGCTGCAACATGAATGAACCCTGAAGGCATTATGCTAAGTGAAACAAGCCAGTCACAAAAGGACAAATATATGAATCCATTTATATGAGTTACCGAAAGTAGTCAAATTCACAGAGACATAAAGTAGAATGGTGGTTGCCAGGGGCTGGAGGAAATGGGAATGAGGAGTAGTTGTTTCATAGGTACAAAGTTTCAGTGGGGAAAATGGAAAGTTCTGGAAAAGGATGGTGCTGATGGTTACATAGCAATGTGAATGTACTTAATGCCACTGAGCTGTATACATTTAAAAATTGTTAAGACAGTGAGTTGTCATGTTTTTTACCAAAATTAAAATTTTTCTTTAAATTTTAAGTGGTTACAATGGTGAGTTTTAAGTTATATATATTTTACCATAATCTTAAAAAATAAAATTACTGATGATGACAAGTTTATCAGAAATGTGTAATCAAATGTACTGGGATGATTCAAAGTTCAAGGTCAGGGGCAGGTAATACCTGGTACTGCTACTACAGAGAATTTTCAGGGCACAGGTGCTACACCTAAAGCTTTTTAGTCCAAAATAATTAGTGAATCTAGGGTGTTTACATAGGAAGTCCTTCAAATACTACTCAAATATTTCAACTGCTATAAGTTTCTGTACAAAACACTGTTAATTATGACTACCGGCATACTGAGTCCACCTATAGCCTATTTGTGGCACAGTAACATGTCACGGCACAGTAATTAAGAAGCTCTGATCTCATCCCCAACTTTCAGCTTTCTCCCTTATCAGCCTCCTATCTCCCCCAGGCTCAGCACATTCTTAGACAATCATCTGGGTAAATCTCATCCTAGTTCAACCATGGATTGGGACCTCTGTTTCTTGAATGCTATACTGAAGGACATTTCCCTTCTAGCACACCCCACCCTCATAAGCAGAACCCATAGAGTAGCTACAAAAAAGCTAATGCATCATAAGCAGCCTTAACAGAAGCAATATCTGGAACAAGGTGAATTATATGACCTTCTAACTCTAAACCTCTATTTCTATGACTTATGTACATTTTTATGACCCTATGTTATATAACACATTAATCTCAGCTTTATATTATGATTGCTTGTCCGGGTATCAGCAATGAATAAAATACATAGCAAAAAGGCATGCCTCATGATTTTTAGTAGCACTAAGCTATCCGAGGTAAAACTGAGAAGTAAATGAAACTTGTCATTCATGCTTTCCCATTCCTATCTTCACTTTTTGTCAAGACCCACATAATGCCCCATGGCAGTCCAAAGTTCCTGACTATCTTACATTACCTTTCAAAAAGTACACAACTCAATTTTCTCTGTTCTTTCCTTTCCTCCACCTAAAAACCTGTCCCAGTTTTTAAAATCTCAATTTGGCAACAGCTCACCTCCTTCAGACATAAATCCTGCTTAGACTTGCTAATTTTCATACGAGAATGTCAACACCAACTCCACTCAGTGGTCACTACAGCATATGGACCTGCCCTTAACAGAAAACACAGAATATCTCTACTTGAGGTTCTGCCACCCAGCCCTTAGCTTATTAACCATTCAGGGTCATCAGGCTGTTTTCTCAGGGTACTGGAATTATAAATCATGGCCTTTTTTCTTTAGTCAAACTTCAATACATAATGTTATGTTATAGGGCAAAGGGACAAAAATCAACATTTGAAAATCTTATCCTAGACCAAATGCTTTTCAAACCATCTGTGGTGAAAGATCAGGATTTTATTTCCAATCTGTCATAGACATATTTTTGTGAAAAACACTAAAACTGAATTACTAGAAAAAAATGAAATTAAAAAATCCAAAACATACAAATTACAAGCCTCAATTCTTTTATTAAACAGACATAGAAATTACTCTGTCAAACTGCTTAAAAGTTTTTAGTCACTAATTTTCCATTTCTGTACTGATGTCCTTGCACTGTTACCAGTGTAGGCCACGCTTTGAGTAATGCTGCCTTAGAATACAGTCTCTCATCCCAACCCAAATATCTACCTCTACCCTGTCAAGAGAGTCGAACAATCCATCTCGGAAAGAAGCTGGAAGACAGAATAGTATACTCTATGGTTAGTGAAAGAGCCACTTGGGATACATACACATCTGCCATCTATACACTTCTAATGCATAGAAGCTGATCCTTTTTCATAAACTACTCACCAGTCTAACACACTTTGAGGTTTATGAGAGTAATAGGGCTGCAGTCTCATATATGTCTTTTACTTTGAAACCTCTCAGTTTTTTAGGTTAGTTAAAACCCCTATTCTGGTTCTTGGTCATTTACATAATAAACAGCCATTTAAATGCACATGCACTACACCCTGGTGAAGTCAGCAGGAGGTGCACATGAAGATCTGAGACCAAACTTCTCTGTATGTGTGCAAAGCATGTCTCCATTGTGCAATCGCTCTACAAATAAGAAATAAACACTGGGTTTATAAGACTTGGAAGAAAAGGTTTACGGCTTTGACTGTTTTCCATTACTGGAAAATTTACATGCTGAAAAGTAGCAAAAACCAGTGCAAAAGAATAAACAGCGGGTGCACTTCAAGGGCTTGTTTCTTTCAAGAATCAGGAGCAAAACTGGGTTTTATTAGCTGTTTCATTAAGTTTTACTTTGAAGAAAAACAAACAGTGAAAGCATATGTGCAACATCTGATGAAAAAGGATTTTATTCCAAACAGTCTCTGTACAAAACTCATTAATGTAACATTAAATGTGAAGACTTGTCTAGCAATTTAAGAATAATTTTACTCATTTTAGTTTATTTATAATTTCTGACACAGTTTATTTAATGTATTCTAAACTTTAAATCACCATGTGTACTAAACTAATATATTAAATCTGTCTTTTCAATGACATTTTGCAATAAATATCTACAGCATCTGTTAAAGACAATTACTATATAAATCTGTATCAAATTTAACACCTAAAGTAGGATAATGCAGCTGGATATTGATAACTTGAAACACTCATGATTACATGTGTTTTTAAAAAATACAAGCAAACTTAAAAAAATCTAAATATATGTGCTACTATAATCTAGTATCTCAAATCTAAGCGCCTAATATAATACACAAAGTATTAAATAAAAGTATTCTTTTTTCCTTAGAACAAATTTAGTCATGCTGGATAGTCATCATATTCCCACTGGAAGAATCTGCCCAATTGCTACTTTCTTGTTTCAATTCTACACATTGATAAGAGGCAACTAAAGTTTGCTGGGGCAGGGGGGGAGCATTGAGAAGAAAAATAAATATATATACATACATATATATATATATATTTTATGTGTGTGTATATATACATATTCCAGATCCATTGTGTTGGCTACATAATGGTGGTATGGAATAGATAAAACTTCAGCTTCTAACTTAGTTAATGAATATTCAAATATTAAACTATAGGTTAGGAGTTAAGACAATAATCTTTGGAGGCAGACACACCTTGGTTCCAGTCTTGACCCTGCCTCGAACATAAATACTATGTAACCTGGACAAATCATTTACTTTCTCTAAGCCTATATGCCTGTCTAAAGTAGAAATAATAATGGCTAACTCACAGAGATATTGTGGGGTTAAATTAAATGAGATATATGTAAATAACAGCACAGTTAATGGTGCTTTGAAAATGGACTTTCCTCTTTAAAAAAAAAAAAAAAAAAGAGTACTGGCTGGGCATGGTGATTCACACCTGTAATCCCAGCACTTTGGGATGCTGAGGCAGGAGGATCACCTCATGTCAGGAGCTGACCAGCCTGGGCAACATGGTGAAACTTCATCTCTACTCAAAATACAAAAACTAGACGGGCATTGTGGGTACCTGTAATCCCAGCTACTCGGGAGGCTGAGGCAGGAGAATTGCTTGAACCTGGGAGGTGGAGGCTGCAGTGAGCTGAAATCATGCCACTGCACTCTAGCCTGGGTGACAGAGCGAGACTCCGTCTCAAAAAAAAAAAAAAAAGTACTCATTTTAATCAAAGTAATACACCACATATTTTAAAAACTAAACATGCATTAAAATACGTATATACATCCAGTCTTCTGTATCAGCAAGCTCTGCATCCACGGATTCAACCAACCTCAGATAAAATTTTTTTTTTTTTGAGACGGAGTATTGCTCTGTCACCCAGGCTGGAGTGCAGTGGCGCAATCTCGGCTCACTGCAACCTCCACCTCCCAGGTTCAAGTAATTCTCCTGCCTCAGCCTCCCGAGCAGCTGGGATTACAGGCATGCGCCACCACGCCCAGCTAATTTTTTTTTTTTTTTTTGAGACAGCGTCTCACTCTGTCGCCCAGGCTGGAGTGTAATGGCGTGATCTCGGTTCACTGCAACCTCTGCCTCCTGAGTTCAAGCGATTCTCCTGCCTCAGCCTCCTGAGTAGCTGGGACTACAGGTGCCCGCCACCACGCCTGGCTAATTTTTATATTTTTAATAGAGACTGGGTCTCAACATGTTGGCCAGGATGGTCTCAATCTCTTGACCTTGTGATCCGCCCGCCTCGGCCTCCCAAAGTGCTGGGATTACAGGCGTGAGCCACTGTGCCCAGCCACGCCCAGCTAATTTTGTATTTTTAGTAGAGACAGGGTTTCACCATGTTGGCCAGGCTGGTCTCAAACTCCTGACCTCATGATCCACCCGCCCCAGCTTCCCAAAGTGCTGGGATTACAGGTTTGAGCCACCACGCCCGGCTGATAAAATATTTTTAAACTACATCTGCTTTGAACATGTACAGACTTTTTTTCTTGTCATTATTCCCTAAACAATACAGTATAACAATTATTTACATAGCATTTACACTGTATCAGGTATTGTAAGTAATCTAGAGATGATTTAAAGTATACAGGAGGATGTGCATGGGTTATATGCAACTACTAAACCATTTTATATCAGGGACTTTAGTATCTGCAGATTTTGGTATGGGAAGGTAGTCCTGGATCCAATCCCCCCAGGGATACTGAGGGATGACTATATAATAAAAGTCAGCAGCCCCTCTTTCACCCCTCCACATACCCTGGTCAGCCTATCCAGATGCAACCACTTGCAACCTTCCTTGTTTCTTCTACTATTCAATACCAAATTCCATACATTTTATCTATATCTTTTTTCTGATACAACAAATTTACACATTACCTACTGAGTTATTGTGGAGATTATATATATTTGAATTCAGCATGACCCCTGAATTTTAAAACCAGGGTTATTAAAAAAAATGACTTCTGTTAAACTCATACATTGGAAAGAATACATCTATAAAAGAAGTAATCTCTGTTTTAGGAACCTAAGTGATACAAATCAATTGTAAGGTGTTTATAAGGGACCTCTACTCCTCAGAGTACAAACATGAAATGGTTTTATTTTTTCCAGTAATTGTCCTTAACATTCCTATGTGGAATCCCCTTTTGTACCTGGTAATTGTGGCAGACTGATTTCATTAATGACCTCAATTTTTCTCTCCCTATATCCATGTCCTTTGGTATTGCCTTCTCGCAATAACTCTGAATGTGGCCTCTTTGAAAAGCTCAAGTAGAGGTCTAAAAAAGTACTTGAGTATTTCTACTTTCTCTCTTCAGACCCTTACCACCACCATGAGAACAAGCTCAGGCTGGCCTGCCAGAACATGGAACCAAGCAGAATCATCCCAACTGAGGCCATCCTAGGCCAGCCCCCAGCCAACCCTCAGTTGACAGCACATGCATAAGCAAGCCCTGTGCACATCAGCTGAACTTGTCACAGATCAGCAAAACTGTCCAGTCAATTTGCAGACTTCCGAGAAATAATAAATGGTTGTTTTAAGTCACTACGTTTGGAATGGTTTATTATGTAGCAATATCTCACCGATATATTAGGGATGCTTAAAAACAACTTGGTCCCAGTCCGTAACTTTTTAGATGCTTCCAATTATTAGAACTCTATCCTTCTCCAGATAATTAAGACTCAATCCTACTATTAGTTTTGTTACTCTGAAGACTTGTCTCAAAATCAATTTGAAGCCCTTTTCTCCCTGTAGTTCAACCCATAACCTCAGCAGCTTGAATAAGCTTCTCAAAATGAAGCATGCTCTTACTCAGAAAAGCCTCCTGCCCCTCACTACTTCTAGGAGCCCATGGCTTAAAAACTGGAAGGAGGGACATCGACTGGTTTAACTGGATGCAGTCACAGTCCTCTTCTTGTTTGCTGTTGCTTCTGTGACACTCCCTGGTTGTCAATATCTCTCCACGTGGCAGACACACAGCTGCTAACTCCCCCATGGGGTGACTGCATGGGCGCTTCAGAGGCGCCTGCAGGGAGACCAACCCCTGGCACACTTCCCTAATCCAGGCAGTCACCATCCCCCTTCTACAACTGCTGAGGTCCCTTTACCTGACTATCAGCCTTCTAGAACAGGACAAGAGATAAAATAGGTCAAGCCTGGCTACTCTTTGAAGTGATCATATTAAACAGGTTGAACACTAACCCCTCCATAGCCCCACTATTGTTCTCAACTCCCTGTACCTCTGCTCAGGCAGAAAAGAGCAGATGAGCAAATCAGCAGCTAAGCAAACACCCAACTAAGCAATGAAATGACCACTCCTCCCTCCCTCCCCATCTGTAGGTACCCCAAACTCATTACAAGTGGTTATTTGAAGAGGGAAGAGAGGCACTGGGAGAGGAGAGAGTGGTTTTTCATTAAGAACACTGCACTCCCCCTTTGCCGAAACTCATTCTCATATCGGGGTGGAGGTTCTCAGTTCTTCAGGAATGGTTCCCCAGGGCAGTCTCTGTAGGCAGATTTCTGGCCCCAGTGGCTAGTAGATTATTCATAGCAATCCAAATATAGAAAATTAGTTACTTAGAGTCTTTTGTCTTCAGCTTGAGGCTTTAGCTGCAATTCTGGAACAAGATAAAAAGGTCCCACTCAACACACTGTTACATGGTTATTTTTAAATCTAAAATATGCATTAAATTCTACTATGCTGCATATCATTATAGAAAAAAATCCATTTTTACTGAAATGCTGGTTTTATTAAAAAGACTGCCCTGAAGAGGTTATTTGAATTATATTTATTAACTTTTTATGTAAATGTTATGGTGTTTTCATGGATCCTAATTCATCAATTAAGGGATAAAAAAGGAATACTGACTTGTTTTTTAATTTCTCAAAATTTTTCAAATAAAACTTTTGTCTAATAAAATTCTTCAGACAAATTGTGAATTTTATTTTTTTCTGGAAAATCAGATACTCACTCACTCATTTAACAAAACTTTGTTTTTGTGCTTACTATATACTCAGAGATATTCTAGTTGCTTTGGGCATATCAACAAATTAAACAAAGATTCCTACCTTCACAGACTGGGCAAAGAAAGAGAGATATTAAACAATAAACATAATAAATAAGTACATTAAATAGTATGTAAGAAGACGAAAATAGCAGTATGAAAAAAAGCAGAGTAGGAAAAGGGAAGCAGGAGTGCCAGAGTGAGGCTGTCAGATAGGCAAGCCAGTGGCTAGCAGATGGTTTGAAATGTTGCACAGGGCAGGCAGGGAGGCCTCATTAAGGAGGTGGCATGTGAGCAACCACACAAAGGACCTGGATGACTTAGCTATATCTGGAAGAAGAGTGTTCTAGACAGAGGGGCCAGTCAGTTCAGAGGCCCCAGGGTGGCAGTGTTTGTCTGGAGTGTTTAAAGAACAGCAAGGTCAGCGTGCCTGGACAGTTGTGATGAAAGAAAGAAAAATAGGAGGTGAAATCAGGGGAGTAAGAAAGTGGAGAAGGAAGCAAACTGCACAGTTTATGGTGTATTGTAAATATTTTGGCTTTTAATCTGAGTTGAGAAGTGACACAATCTGACTTGTATTTTAAGAGTTATGTCATAGGAAGGCAAGAGTGAAAACAGTCAGATCATTAGGAAGGTAATCCTAGTAAGAGTTGACGATAGTTTATACCAGGGTGGTAGCAGGGAAGATGATGACAGATGGTATGATTCTGGATATTATGAAAAGGGAACAAGCAGGATTTCCTAATGGATTAGATGTGGGGTGTAAAAAAAATAAAGGAGTTAAAGATAGTTCCAGTAGCTTGAGCAACTGGAAGGATGGAGTTGTCATCAATTCAAAGAGGGCTGGTTTGGGTGGTAGTAGGTGAACAAGTTTGGGAGCGGGGAGACTAGGAGTTTAATTCTGGACATGTTAGCTTCGGGATCTAAGTGAATCCATCAAAGTAGAAGTGTCAAGAAGTTGGCCTTAAGGGAGAGACATCTGGGCAGAGGATATACATTTAGGAGTAATTAGCATTTGGATGGAATTTAAATGATGAGACCTCCATGGTCATGAGACTAGCTAGAGATGAGAATAAGACATAGGACTGCTCATGGGCACTAATATTATGAGACTGTGGGGAAAAAATAAAGAAACAGCAAAGGAGACTGAAAAGGAATAAAGAGTAATATAGAAGGTGAACTAAGAGAGTAAGGACACCAATTGAAGAAAGTATATCAAGGAGGAAAGAATGATCAATCCTGTCAAGTGATGCTAGAAGATCAAATAATTTACCTGTGAGTTTAGCAGCCTAGATATCACTGGTAACATTAATAATAATATTGGACCCAATGGATCATTCCATAAGAAAAGAAATTTTACTACTTAAATTCTTCTAAAACAAATAGTTTTTGTTAAGCATTTGACAGAATCCAGCATCCCTTTATGATTAAAACCCTCAGCAAAACCAGCATAGAAGGGACATATCTTAAGGTAAAAAAGCCATCTATGACAAACCCACAGCCAACATTATACTGAATAAGGAAAAGTTGAAAGCATTCCCCCTGAGAATTGGAACAAGACAAGGATGCCCACTTTCATCACTTCTATTTAACATAGTACTGAAAGTCCTAGTCAGAGCAATCAGACAAGAGAAAGAAATAAAGGGCATCCAAATCAGTAAAGAGGACATCAAACTGTCACTGTTTGCTAAGGACATTATCGTATACCCTAAAGACTCATCCAAAAAGCTCCTAGAACTGGTAAATGAATTCAGCAAAGTTTCAGGATACAAAATCAACATACGCAAATCAACAGCCCTGCTATACACCAACAGCAGCCAAGCTGAGAATCAAATCAAGAACTCAACCCCTTTTACAATAGCCGCAAAAAAAAAAAAAGAGATAAAATACTTAGGAATATGCTTAACCAAGGAGGTGAAAGATCTCTACAAGGAAAACTATAAAACACTGCTGAGATAAATCATAGACAACACAAACAAGTAGAAACACATCCCACGCTCTTGGAGGGGTTGAATTGATATTATAAAAATGACCAAACTGCTGGGGCTGGGCGCAGTGGCTCACGCCTGTAATCCAGGCACTGTGGGAGGCTAAGGTGCGCGGATCACGAGGTCAGGAGCTCGAGACCATCCTGGCTAACACGGTGAAACCCTGTCTCTACTAAAAAAATACAAAAAATTAGCCAGGCGTGGTGGCAGGCGCCTACAGTCCCAGCTACTTGGGAGGCTGAGGCAGGAGAATGGTGTGAACCTGGGAGGCAGAGCTTGCGGTGAGCTGAGATCATGCCACTGCACTCCAGCCTGGGCAACAGAGCAAGACTCCATCTCAAAAAAAAAAAAAGAAAGAAAGAAAATGACCACACTGCCAAAAGCAATCTACAAATTCAGTGCAATTCCCATCAAAATACCACCATCATTCTTTACAGAACTGGAAAATAACAATCCTAAAATTCATATGGAACCAAAAAAGAGCCTACATAGCTAAAGCAAGACTAAACAGAAAGAACAAATCTGGAGGCATTACATTTCTTGACTTCAAACTATACTATAAAGCCATAGTCACCAAAACAGCATGGAACTCGTAAAAAATAAGCCTATAGACCAACAGAACAGCACAGAGAACCCAGAAATAAAGCCAAATACTTAGAGTCAACTGATCTCCAACAAAGCAAACAAAATAAAGTGGGGAAAGGACACCCTATTCAACAAATGGTGCTGGGATAATCGGCAAGCCACATGTAAAAGAATCAAAGTGGATCCTCGCCTCTCTCTCACCTTATACAAAAATCAACTAAAGATGGATCAAAGACTTAAATTCAAGACCTGAAACCATAAAAAATTCCAGAACATTGGAAAAACCCTTCTAGACAATGCCTTAGACAAAGATTTAATGACCAAGAACCCAAAAGAAAATGCATCAAAAACAAAGATAAATAGACGAGACAATTTAAAAAGCTTATGCACAGCAAAAGAAATAATCAGCAGAGTAAACAGACAACCCACAGACTGGGAGAAAATCTTCACAATCTATCCAAAACCCCATCTGTACGTCACCATCATCAAAGACCAAAGGTAGATAAAACCATGAAGATGGGGAAAAAACAGCACAGAAAAACTGAAAATTCTGAAAATCAGAGTGCCTCTCCTCCAAAGGAACGCAGCTCCTCACCAGCAATGGAACAAAGCTAGACGGAGAATGACTTTGACAAGTTGAGAGAAGAAGTCTTCAGATGATCAAACTTCTCTGAGCTAAAGGAGGAAGTTCGAACCCATCACAAAGAAGCTAAAAACCTTGAAAACAGATTAGATGAATGGCTAACTGGAATAACCAATGTAGAGAAGTACTTAAATGGCCTAATGGAGCTGAAAACCATGGCATGAGAACTATATGATGAATGCACAAGCTTCAGTAGCTGATTCGATCAACTGGAAGAAAGGGTATCAGTGATGGAAGATCAAATGAATGAATTGAAGCGAGAAGAGAAGTTTAGAGAAAAAAGAATAAAAAGACACGAACAAAGCCTCCAAGAAATATGGGACTATGTGAAAAGACCAAATCTACGTCTGATAGGTGTACCTGAAAGTGACGGGGAGAATGGAACCAAGCTGGAAAACACTCTTCAGGATATTATCCAGGAGAACTTCCCCAACCTAGCAAGGCAGGCCAATATTCAAATTCAGGAAATACAGAGAATGCCACAAAGATACTCCTCGAGAAGAGCAACTCCACAACACATCATTGTCAGATTCACCAAAGTTGAAATGAAGGAAAAAATATTAAGGGCAGCCAGACAGAAAGGTCGGGTTACCCACAAAGGGAAGCCCATCAGACTAACAGTGGATCTCTCAGCAGAAACTCTACAAGCCAGGAGAGAGTGGAGGCCAATATTCAACATTCTTAAAGAAGAGAATTTCCAACCCAGAATCACATATCCAGCCAAACTAAGCTTCATAAGTGAAGGAGAAATAAATACTTTACAGACAAGCAAATGCTGAGAGATTTTGTCACCACCAGGCCTGCCCTAAAAGAGCTCCTGAAGGAAGCACTAAACATGGAAAGGAACAACCGGTACCAGCTGCTGCAAAAACTTGCCAAATTGTAAAGACCGTCAAGGCTAGGAAGAAACTGCATCAACTAACGAGCAAAATCACCAGCTAACATCATAATGACAGGATCAAATTCACACATAACAGTATTAACCTTAAATGTAAATGGGCTAAATGCTCCAATTAAAAGACACAGACTGGCAAATTGGATAGAGTCAAGGCCCATCAGTGTGCTGTATTCAGGAGACCCATCTCACGTGCAGAGACACACATAGGCTCAAAATAAAGGGATGGAGGAAGATCTACCAAGAAAATGGAAAACAAAAACAGGCAGGGATTGCAATCCTAGTCTCGGATAAAACAGACTTTAAACCAACAAAGATCAAAAGAGACAAAGAAGGACATTACATAATGGTAAAGGGATCAATTCAACAAGAAGAGCTATCTATCCTAAATATATAGGCACCCAATACAGGAGCACCCAGATTCATAAAGCAAGTCCTTAGAGACCTACAAAGAGACTTAGACTCCCACACAATAATAATGGGAGACTTTAACACTCCACTGTCAACATTAGACAGATCAACGAGACAGAAAGTTAACAAGGATACCCAGGAATTGAACTCAGCTCTGCACCAAGTGGACCTAATAGACATCTACAGAACTCTCCACCCCAAATCAACAGAATATACATTCTTCTCAGCACCACATCGCACTTATTCCAAAATTGACCACATAGTTGGAAGTAAAGCACTCCTCAGCAAATGTAAAAGAACACAAATTATAACAAACTGTCTCTCAGACCACAGTGCAATCAAACTAGAACTCAGGATTAAGAAACTCACTCAAAACTGCTCAACTACATGGAAACTGAACAACCTGCTCCTGAATGACTACTGGGTACATAACTAAATGAAGGCAGAAATAAAGATGTTCTTTGAAACCAACAAGAACAAAGACACAACATACCAGAATCTCTGGGACACATTTAAAGCAGTGTGTAGAGAGAAATTTATAGCACTAAATGCCCGCAAGAGAAAGCAGGATAGATCTAAAATTCACAATCTGTAAATATGACAAATGACTAATATCCAGAATCTACAAGGAACTCAAACAAATCAGCAAGAAAAAAAAACAATCCCATCAAAAAGTGGGCTAAGGACATGAATAGACAATTCTCAAAAGAAGATATACAAATGGCCAACAAACATATGAAAAAATGCTCTACATCACTAGTTATCAGGGAAATGTAAATCAAAACCACAATGCAATACCACCTCACTCCTGCAAAATGGCCATAATCAAAAAATCAAAAAAAAATAGATGTTGGTGTGGATGTGGTGAAAAGGGAACACTTTTACACTGTTGATGGGAATTTAAGATAGTACAACCACTATGGAAAACGTGTGGGGATTCCTTAAAGAACTAAAAGTAGATCTACCATTTGATGCAGCAACCTGGGTATCTACTCAGAGGAAAAGAAGTCATTCTATGAAAAAGATACTCGCACACACCCTCAAAGCAGCACAATTTGCAATTGCAAAAATATGAAACCAGCCCAAATACTACTCAGTCATAAAAAGGAACAAAATAATGGCATTTGCAGCAAGCTGGGTGGAATTGGAGACCATTATTATAAGTGAAGTAACTCAGAAATGCAAAACCAAACATCGTATGTTCTCACTCACAAGTGGGAGCTAAGGTATGAGGAGTCAAAGGCATAAGAATGATACAATGGGCCGGATGCGGTGGCTCACCCATGTACTCCCAGCACTTTGGGAGGCCAAGGCGGGCAGATCACACCCAAGACCAGCCTGGCCAATATGGTGAAAACCCGTCTTTACTAAAAAACACAAAAATTGGCCGGGCGTGGTGGTGTGTGCCTGTAGTCCCAACTACTCGGGAGGCTGAGGCAGGAGAATCACTGGAACCCGGGAGGTGCAGGTTGCAGTGAGCCAAGATTGTGCCACTGCACTCCAGCCTGGCAACAGGGCGAGACTCCATCTCAAAAAAAAAAAAAAAAGAATGAAAGAATGATACAATGGATCACCCCTGTAATCCTAACACTATGGGAAGCCACGGAAGGCGGATCGCTTGAGGTCAGGAGTTCAAGACCAGCTTGGCCATCATGGTGAAACCCTGTCTCTAATTAAAGAATACAAAAATTAACCAGGCATGGTGGCACATGACTGTAATTCTAGCTACTCGAGAGGCTGAGGTGGGAGAATCACTTTAACCTCGGAGGTGGAGGTTGCAATGAACCGAGACTGCACTACTGCATCCAGCCTGGATGACACAGTGAGACCCTGTCTCAAAAAAAAACAGTAAAAACAAAAACATAGTGCTTGCTGTCAAGGAGCTCTCAGACTACTATGGGGAATTAGCCAAGTATATAGATGACCACCATACAGAATTGTACACCAATTGTATGGAAACACAGAGGAGTGGATCTAAGCCAAACTTGGGAGGTCAGGGTTGCCTATGTGAAGTTAAGTGATGCATAGATTCAATCTAAAAAAATATGTAGTTATTATGGGCAAAAGACAGCCATAAAAATCACAAAAGAAAGTACCAAATAACTAATAAACATATGAAAAGATGCTCAAATGAGCTAGTTTTTAGAAAATGCAAATTAAAACCATGTGGCCTCGGGAGGCAGGACTACAAATCCCCTTCAAAAAACAACTTTGAAACTGAACAAAATTGTTAAAAACAACCATTTCAGGGAACTGGGAATCAACCAAAGGCAAATAACATATTAAGAAGCACTTATTCATGAAAAACTGTTGAAATTCAGGCAAGAACAGTGGGAGTCTGTGGCATTCCTCCCTGAGGTTGCTCCCATCCCTCCCAGAGGGTCAGTATGGTGGTTCTACCAGGACCACAGGCTGTGAAACCAGCAGCCTTACTGCCAGAGAGGCTCAACTGATCTGAAGCTGAAAATGAAAATATGCCATCCAGCAGCATCATCAGTAAAAGTAGCAATCTCTGTAGCAAGCCTGAGGTAGTAGTCATCCCAGTTGGCACAAGCAACCAACCAACCAGCACCATAATAGGAATAGTAATAGGGAGATTCTGGAAATGAAGGATTACAGAGAAGCTTGAGAAACTACACACAACCCTGGCAGCCTTCCACTCACATGTGTAGGGGAAGCTAAGGGGACCCAAGCTGTCCACACATCCTGGCTGATGAGGAGGCTTTGTGTAGACGCAGAGGACATGGTTGAAACTAAAAGACAGGGCAGACTTGAACACTGCCTAAACTTCGAATGTGCTCCCCAACCCACACAGAACCATCAGGAAGTGGAGAAGCCTACTGGCTCCAGGTGTTTGAGCATAACCTCTGACCAATCATCAGCAATTAAGCTATGCACAAATGTAACGTTGAGAGAACGAAGCCAGGCTCAAAAGAATAATCTTTTTTAAGCAAGAGTTTTGCGTGCTTAGCTAAGGAGACTGAACTATATCCTGAATAATGAAGAATCACTAAAGGATTTTAACCAGAGAGTAATGGAGTGGAATTGCATTTTATAAGATCACCTTGGCAGGCTTAGAGGCAGGTTGGCAGAGGGCAAGATTAGAGACAAAGAGCAGAAATAATGATAGCCTGAACAAAAAGAATGGTGATGGGCAAGGAGGGCAGAGGTAAGCCAACTTGAGAGATTTTTAAAGATGGAATAAATTGATGTAATGATCCATTCAGTATATGTATTGAGGCAGAGGAATGTAAAACCTTCAGGGTCATGGCCTGAGTCGGAGGTTGGTGGAGCCATCTAGAAAAAAAAAGAATTCAGAAGGAGCAGTGGATATTGAGGGCAAAAAATGATCAGCTCAGTTTTAATCATGTTGAGTTTGAGATTTATAGAACTTTAATCCATGAGACTGCTTACATAATTAAACTTTGTATAAAATTTATTACTTAGAAAACGATAAGTAGCATACAGAAATATGGGAACGCAGTGGTCCAAAGACCTGGGTTTCTATTTCAGTTTTAGCTCCAAGTTGGACAAGTCAATTGTTACCTTGGTGCTAAGTTTATTTATTTACTTAAACTATCTTTATGTAAAATAAAGAAAATAAGACTGTCCTATACACTCACAGGAACACTGTGTGCATAAAAAGAATGCTGTAAAACTAGAACACAAGCAATTGCTGCTATAGTGCACAACTTGTTCTGGAAGCTTTAATACAATATGACCAAAATGAAGCCATAAATATTGGAAAAGAAACCATATTTTCATTATATCAGATGACATGGAAAGCACCAAAGAATTACTTTTTATACTATTAGACCTAGTGTTAGTTCAGTAAGGTAACCAGTTACAAAATATACCTAGTAAAATCAATATCTTACCTGCATATCAGCAATAACCTTAGACCTTAAAATGGGGAAAACCCAGTCTCTCTAAATAAAGCTAAATCTATCGCTATTTTATCCTATCATGGATCGACTTAAAGAAATTAGTTAATTAATTAATTAAAGCCCCATTCAAACCGTGAATTTCAAACTTCACTGAAGACTTTAAAAAGTGAACACCTAGCATGTTCCTAAAAGGGAAGACAACATTATAGATACATAATTTCACTCCAAATTTATAAATTTAAAAGGACAGCCATCAAAATCCCAATTGGAAAACATAGCAACACTTATTTATCTAATTAAGAGTACAGGTACCAAAACGAAATTCCCCACATATGAGGGGAATTAGCCAAAATAATCACAATTGTATTAAGGAAGTGAAATAATTGGTTATTTTTCCCCTCCATTTTTACAGATATTCATAATCAGAATTTTGTCTGTACTTGGAAACATTCTCCAAGACCTTGAGGACAAGAAATATAAGAAAGCGGCTTTGCAGATGACGCCGCCGAGGAAAACTGTGTACTATTAGCCATGGTCAACCCCACCGTGTTCTTCGACATTGCCGTCGATGGCGAGCCCTTGGGCCGCGTCTCCTTTGAGCTGTTAGCTGACAAGGTCCCAAAGACAGCAGAAAATTTTCATGCTCTGAGCACTGGAGAGAAAGGATTTGGTTATAAGGGTTCCTGCTTTCACAGAATTATTCCAGGGTTTATGTGTCAGGGTGGTGACTTCACACGCCATAATGGCACTAGTGGCAAGTCCATCTATGGGGAGAAATTTGAAGATGAGAACTTCATCCTAAAGCATACAGGTCCTGGCATCTTGTCCATGGCAAATGCTGGACCCAACACAAATGGCTCCCAGTTTTTCATCTGCACTGCCAAGACTGAGTGGTTGGATGGCATGCATGTGATCTGTGGCAAAGTGAAAGAAGGCATGAATATTGTGGAGGTCATGGAGTGCTTTGGGTCCAGGAATGGCAAGACCAGCAAGAAGATCACCATTGCTGACTGTGGACAACTCGAATAAGTTTGACTTGTGTTTTATCTTAACCACCAGACCATTCCTTCTGTAGCTCAGGAGAGCACCCCTCCATCCCATTTGCTCGCAGTATCCTAGAATCTTTGTGCTCTCGCTGCAGTTCCCTTTGGGTTCCATGTTTTCCTTGTTCCCTCCCATGCCTAGCTGGATTGCAGAGTTAAGTTTATGATTATGAAATAAAAACTAAATAACAAAAAATATATATATATAAGAAAACTCTTTCTGAGTTAAAGATGAAATTAACTCATCATAGATCAGAGGATATAGGCAAATTACCTTAACGAGAAAAAAAATGGTTCCCTAGCCTGCAAGATTTAACTGGAACTCAATGGCAACCAAAAGAGCAATTAATCAGTAATTAATACTTTAAAAAATTAGATCAGTGAAACAAACATCAGCAGTGTCCACTACACTGTTCAGGAGAAAGAGTCTTTTAACCGTACACCCTTTAAACAATTTGGCCTCAATGGTAAGACTACCCATACTGTGGAGCAAGATGTACTAATGCCACGTTTAGATTATGCCATTAAATATTCCATTTATGCAACTATGAGAAAAAATTTGAACTCATTCTAGGTTCATACGATTATGGTTTTGTTCACCTACAAAACAAAAATGAGCTATCATGCTGAGATGGTGATTTCAGTTCATTTGACAATTCTACTTATTATAAATTAATACATTTGATTCTGATATACATCCAATCATATATAAATGTAATAAACAAATAAAATATATATGTCTAGTATATATAAGTCAGATTAGATATAGACATAATCTGTCCTTTGACACTGTTTAATGTGAGTCTGTTTTTGGGAGACAGCTCCATTCCATTCCATCTGAACCCAAAAAGCTGAGGGTCAGATCCTGGGCTTGATAAACTCACCAGTGTAAAGATAACTTCCTACAAGGCTTTTTGAAATACAGCTGAACTAAAACATCACTGTTAACCAGGCATGTGCTCTTATTTGTTAAACTTGCACAATTACTATCATTTTAAAATTTTTCATTTATAAATTTGTGAAGTATTATAGCTTTCCTTCTCAGATAGTTTTGATAATCTTTAAAAATAGTATTCAAAGGTATTTAATTCACAAGTGATACAACCTGTTCTTCTTGAAATTATTGCTTAAGATTTGCATATGCTTAAGTGACAAATCATAACACTCAATAAATTATGAATGGAAAAATCTAGTATAACTGACTAGGATTTAGTGTTTATTACAAAAACACAGCCTACTGCTCCAAGTGCATTTTTCTCCTAATCTCCTAAGGTAAAGAAAAAAAAATCTACTCTAGCTTCATCAAGAGATTATATGAATGCAATATATTTAATCTTTATCTAGTGACATCTGGAGCTAGAAATGATATTTCATTAACTCACAGCAGATGACTTAAACAAATACAGTATTACACTAAAACCACAGCAGTAACATGCTCATGACCCCCCTAAAAAGGATTAATAAGGAGATATGGAAAGATCTATAAGGTAAACTGGAAGAATAAATGTTAGTCAAAAAGTATTTCACAACAACAAATGTATTTATTTGTCACTCAAATAAAGCAATATTATTCTTAAAAAACCTGTGAGAAATATCTATTTCTTTTAGTGAACCTTAAAATTGTAACTAAATTTTAGGAAAGAATCTATATAAGCATATTGTCTTTATAAAGATTAAAATTTTAAGTGGATACTTAATATTTCACCTTTGAAGTAAAAATAAATAATTATTTCCAACAAATATATATATGTGTGTGCATATATATATATGACACAAAAGTAAATGGGTAGGCAAAGTAAAGTAATTGTATTTAAAAATATGAATTCCAGCCTGTCACAGTGGTTCATGGCTGTAATCGTTAACACTTTGGGAGGCCCAGGCAGGAGGATCACTTGAGCCCAGGAGTTTGATACCAGCATGGGCAATACAGTGAGACCTCATCTCTACAAAAAAATTACAAAATTAGCCAACTGTGGTGGTATACACCTATAGTCCCAGCTACACAGGCGGCTGAGGTGGGAAGATCACTTGAGCCCAGTAGGCGGAGACTGCAGTGAACCGAAATTGCACTGTTGCACTCCAGCCTGGGTGACAGAGCAAGGCCCTGTCTCAAATAAAATAAAATATGAATTCTATTACTTACTCTCTAATTTGATTATATTCTGATAGAAATATTCAGTTGGGTTTATATTAGCAAATGTGAGACATGGTGAAAACTACTCTTGTCAAATACACATGGAAAGCATTTTTAATACTGTTTAATAATGTATTTCAGAAATAAAAATGTAATCTCCTAATAGAACGAGGCTATGTAATTCAAGAAGTCATCATCTAATAGAAATTCACTCCAAATTCTCTCTTTAGCTGTTTCCTTCATAAAATTGTAAATCAAAATTTGTAGAAATAATGAATGAACCTTGAGGACATTATGCTAAATGAAATAAGCCAGTCATTAAAAGACAAATACTGTGGGAGGCTGAGGTGGGCAGATCACGAGGTCAAGAGATCAAGACCACCTTGGCCAACATGGTAAAACCCCATCTCTACTAAAAATACAAAAATTAGCTGGGCATGGTGGCACGCACCTGTAGCCCCAGCTACTCGGGAGGCTGAGGCAGGAGAATCACTTGAACCTAGGAGGCAGAGGTTGCAGTGAGCCGAGATCATGCCACCGCATTCCAGCCTGGTGACAGAGCGAGACTCTGTCTCAAAAAATAAAATAAAATAAATACAAATACTGTATGATTCTACTTACCTGAGATAACTAGAGTAATCAAATTCATAAAGATAGAAAGTAGAAGGGGAGTTGCCAGGGGCTGTGGGGATTCTGGAGTTTGGTTGCACAACAATATGAATGCACTTAACACTACCGTACTGTATACTTAAAGTGGTTAAGATGGTAAATTTACATTATGTGCATTTTACCACAATTTTTAAAACTATATAAAAATTTATAGAAACAATATTTCATGGCTTTAGAGTCTTTTCTTGAATTCATTCATTAATTTTAATATATAATTATAAACGTACAGAGCACACATGAACAGCCTATAATTTGAATACATATGGGGAAAATAAAGAAAGCTAAGTTAATTAGGTTGAAATATATTACATCACTTCATATATGCCACAGATGCTTTGAAACACCATCTCTGGCTGTGAGTCGATAATTGTGGAAGCTAGGTGATGGGTATGCGGGAATTCATTATACTATTCTCTTTACTTTTGTATGCTTGAAATGTTTCATAATAAGACATTTAAAAATAAAGATCTGCTGTGCAAATAAACAAAGTAAGAAATTCAGCAGGACAACAAAAATGATGGGAAGGTCCATGGTGGGCTTTGTACTCAGAGATGAAATACAGTAAAATATGGAGATTTTTAGAATCCATTTTAAAAATATGAATTTAATGTATTAGCATAATGGCAAAGGGTTTTAAGGAAAGTAATATGAAAGAGAAAAGCTACTGAAAAGAAGAAATCATAAAAATCAGTTTAAATTTATACTCAGAATAAAATGAAATTTAAAATTTTTACTATATATAAATTAGCAAACAAGCCCTTTCAATAAGCGGTTCCTAAACTGTAATGGAGATAAAATATTTCTGGTATGTTGCCACGTATACTTCAAATTATAATCAAGTATGTTTAGAAGAGACAAGGGATTAACAGAGAGAAGAGGCTCTTTAATTCTTCTGAAAGACTAACACACAAAATGATCTAGTATTAATTGTATAAAATATAATCTCAAGAAAGTAGGATATTTTGTTTTCAATCTGAACGTTCTCTCTTCCTGTTTCTGCTATACAAAAGTGAGAGAAGGAAGCTGAAAATCTATAGGAAATTATTTTATCAATCACTTATGAAAGGTGGAATCACAGAACTGAAAACTGAGATCCTAAACTGAAACACAAAAATCAAACAAAACAAAATTTCTAGAAAGCAAGGTAGAGTTTCAATGTTGCACAAATCCCAAAAAGAATAATTATAAATGTGCGGTGGCTCACGCCTGTAATCCCAGCACTTTGGGAGGCACAGGCAGGCGGATCACCCGAGGTCAGGAGTTCAAGACTAGCCTGGCCAACATGGTGAAACCCCGTCTCTATTAAAAATATAAAAACTAGCTGGGCGTGGTGGTGGATGCCTGTAATCCCAGCTACTCGGGAGGCTGAGGCAGGAGAATTGCCTGAACCTAGGAGACAGAGGTTGCAGTGAGCCGACACAGTGCCACTGCACTCCAGCCTCGGCGAAAGAGTGAGACTCTATCTCAAAAAACAAAACAAAAGAAAACAAGAATAATTATAAATTAAGTTTAGAAAACATGAGTAAATTGTTGTGAGACAAAAGGAAGCATATATGTAACATACAAAAAAAGTAAAGAGAATAGTACCAAAATCAAACCCATAAACACATCATCCATATTCAACACATTTGAAGATTTTGCCACATTTGCTTCATCTATCCCTATTTATTTGGTTGTTTTTGTTTTATTTAGCTATACTCCTTGGTATCATTTTATACATGAGTCCATAATCAAATATCACTAATCAACTCAAAAAAAGTCCTTTTACAGTTGATTTGTTTGAGTCAGGGTCCAGATAAGTTCAAATATTACATTAGGGTATATCTCTTGAATTTCTTTTAATCTAGGGTAGTGCTACTCAAGTGTGATTTTTCAATTGGTGCCATTTTGAGAATTAATTGTTACCAGTCCAAAAACTGTTTACTGGTCCTCAACTCTTTGTTACGGGTCAACAAGATAAATACAGAAAAGGAAAGTGAGCACTTAGAAACGTTCATAGCAAGTTGACACTGTCAAGACATCCAAGTGCATGATGAGTGGACTCATCTCACTGAACCAGCTGGCAGTCGTCAGACTCACCGTGAGTCACACGTGACCTGAACTGCATACTCGTCATGCACCCTAGGACCACTTACTGGTTGCTGCCTGGATAGGATATTAAAAAACAAACAAACAACAAAAACAAAAAACCCAGTGTTTAATCCTAGAAATTTGAGACACAGTCCTTCTCCTCACTTCTTTATCCTAACATTGACTTTTTGAAGAAATAGGGTCAGGTGTCCTTTAGATTCATGGATTGTTGTGTTTGCTTCCCATAGTGTCAATTACCTTGGTTCTCCATCTCCTGATTTCCTATAACTGATTCTATTCAGATTCAACTTCGGGGACGCAAATACTTCATACAGGGTACTCTGTGATTCATGTTATAAAACTTCAGAAAGTGTATCATATCTGGTTCCCCCATTTTTAGTAATGCAAAGACTGATCACTAGGCTCAGGTAGTAATAGCTCAATCTCTCCTTTGTAAATTCCCCCTCAACCTTTCATCTAACTGTTTCATCCACCAATTATTGTTGCCTAATTCATTTCATTAGGGGCTTAAAGTGATAATTTTTTAATTTTACCATACTTTTTTTTTTTTGAGACGGAGTCTTGTTCTGGGCGACAGAGCAGGCTGGAATGCAGTAGCACAATCTCGGCTCACTGCAACCTCCACCTCCCGGCTTCAAGTGATTCTCCTGTCTCAGTAGCTGGGATTACAGGTGCCCCCACTACAATGACCAGCTACTTTTTGTATTTTGAGTAGAGATGGGATTTCACCATATTGGTCAGGCTAGTCTCAAACTCCTGACCTCAAGTGATCCGCCTGCCTTGGCCTCCCAAAGTGCTGCGATTACAGGCATGAGCCACCATTCCCAGCCTCTACTATCCTTTTATATTTATTAGATAAAATTGTGGGAGAAGGACTTTCCCTCATCAAATCAGGCTATTTGGTTACCATGAAATAGGTCATGTAAGAAAAAGGTAATACTTATTTCTTTCCATTTGATTACCAATGTTCATACCAAGGAGTTGATGTCCTATAAACTTCCAATGATGTTCAATGGGTTGGATTGGAAGGCTATTCTGCTCTTTTTCTCTCTAACATTATGAATACATGGTTTTTTAAGATACATGTGTTTCAAACAATTACATCCATTGTTATTTATGGTACTCAAATTGTCTTATCTTTGACCAATGGAAGCCTCTTAATGTTAATTCTTAGGTCCTTTTAACAAGACCACACTAGCTAACTTGTCTTTGATTTCTTTGCATTCTGGTTAGTCAATAAGAAAACCCAGGCTCAGTTTGTACACTTCTTCCCTCAGACCTGGAGTTTGTACACTTCTTCCCTCAGACCTGGAGTCAGCCATTCCTGCAAGAAATTCTGCCTCCTTTTTGTGGGAAATGGTATTTATAGATCACAATCTGGGCACTTCAGTAGACAAAGCTAGAAAATATGTAGTTTGCATTCCTACTGATATTTCCAGTGCAGATTAATATTACGGTACTTTAATTTCTTTGATTTTCTACTAATCACTTTTATCTTACATTGTAAATCTTGGCTCCTGATGACCTTAACATAAATACATAAGTACTTATTTGCATTTTTGTAAAATAGGTATAAAACAATCACAAAAGCATAAGATATTGAGAGTACTATTAACAACCAGGTTATTTTTTAAAGCTTACAATTTCTTTATAGCACTATTTATCCTTCAATTAAATCCCATTAAGGATAGTCAAAATACTGTGTTCTTAGGTCACGTGAAATAATTTTTTTCTCGTTTTTTTGAACTTTTATTTTAGGTTCGGGGTACAAGAGCAGGTTTGTTGTATAGGTAAACTGCATGTCACAGGGGTCTGGTGTACACATTATTTTGCCACCAAAGTGATAAGCATAGTATCCGATAGGTAGTTTTACTTTTTTAAAAATACTTTTACTTTAGGTTCAGGGGTACCTGTGTAGGTTTTTTTATATAAGTAAATAGCATGTCACAGGGGTTTGGTACACAGATTATTTCATCACCCAGGTTATAAGCACAGTACCCAATGAGTGGTTTCCGGATCCTCACCCTCCTCTCTCCCTCCACCTTCACATAGAACCCAGTGTCTGTTGTTGCCCTCTTTGTGTCCATATGTACTCAATGTTTAGCCCCTACTTATAAGTGAGAACATGTAGTATTTGGTTTTCTGTTCCTGTGTTACTTCACTTAGGATAATGCCCTCTAGTTCCATCCATGTTGCTGCAAAAGACATGATCTTTTTCTTTTTTTATGGCTACATAAGTATTCCATAGTGTATGTGTATCATGCTTTCTTTATCCAGTCTACTGTTGATGGGCATTTAGGATTCTATGTCTCTGTTATTGTGAAAAGTGCTGCCATGAACATATGCATTCATGTGTTTATGGCAGAATGATTTATATTCCTTTGGAATATATTTGGAATCCTGATATTGGGATTGCTGCGTCAAATGGTAATTCTGCTTTGAGTTCTTTGGAAAATTGCCAAACTGCTTTCCACAATGGCTGAACTAATTTACATTCCCACCAGCAGTGTATAAGTATTCCCTTTTCTCTTCAACCTCACCAGCATCTGTTATTTTTTGACTTTTTAATAATAGCCATTCTGACTGGTGGGAGATGGTATCTCATTGTGGTTTTGATTTACATTTCTCTAATGATTAGTGATGTTGAGTGTTTCCTCATATGCTTCTTGGCGATGTGCATGTCTTCTTCTTTTGAGAAGTGTCTGTTCATGTCCTTTGCCTACTTTTTAATGGGATTGGGTTTTTTGCTTGTTAATTTGTTTAAATTCCTTATAGACTCCGGATATTAGACCTTTGTCAGATGCATAGTTTGCAAACATTTTCTCCCATTCTGTAGATTGTCTGTTTACTCTGTTGATAGTTTCTTTTGCTGTACAGAAACTCTTGTTTAATTAGTTCCCATTTGTCAATTTTTGTTTTTGTTGCAATTGCTTTTGGCATCTTCATCATAAAATCTTTGCCCAGTTCTACGTCCAAAATAATATTTCCTAGGCTATCATCCAGAGTTTTTATAGTTTTTGCTTTTAAGTCTTTAATCGATCTTGAGTCGATTTTTTATATGGTGTAAGGGGTCCTGTTTCAATTCTCTGCATATGGCAGGCCAGTTATCCCACATCATTTATTGAATAGGGAGTCCTTTCCCTATTGCTTGTTTTTGTCAACTTTCTTGAAGATCAGATGGTTGTATATGTGTGGCCTTGTTTCTGGGTTCTCCATTCTGTTTCATTGGTCTTTGTGTCTGCTTTTGTACCAGTACCATGCTATTTTGGTTACTGTAGCCTCATAGTATAGTTTGAAGTTGGGTAATGGGATGCCTCCAGCTTTGTTCTTTTTGCTTAGTATTGCCTTAGCTATTTGGGCTCTTTTTGGTTCCATATGAATTTTAAAACTGTTTTTTCTAATTCTCTGAAGAATGTCATTGTAGATTGATAGGAAGATAGTAGACTGACAGGAATAGTATTGAATCTGTACATTGCTTTGGGCAGTATGGCCATTTTAACAATGTTATTTCTTCCTATCCATGAGCATGGAATATTTTTCCATTTGTTTGTGTAATTTCTGATTTATTTGAACAGTGTTTTCTAATTCTCATGGTAGAGCTCATTTACCTCCCTAGTTAGCTGTATTCCTAGGTATTTTACTCTTTTTTGTGGCTCCTGTGAATGGGACTGCATTCTTGATTTGGCTCTCAGCTTGGATATTGTTGGTGCATAGAAATGCTACTGATTTTTGGCCGGGTGCAGTGGCTCACACCTGTAATTCCAGCATTTTGGGAGGCCAAGGCGAGCAGATCACCTGTGGTCACGAGTTCAAGACCAGGGTAGCCAACATGGTGAAACCCCATCTCTACTGAAAATACAAAAATTAGCTGGGCATGATGGCAGGTGCCTGTAATCCCAGCTATGCAGGAGGCTGAGGCAGGAGAATCACTTGAACCTGGGAGGACGGGGTTGCAGTGAGCCGAGATTGTGCCACTGCACTCCAGCCTGGGCGACAGAGACTCCATCTCAAAAACAAACAAAAAAAAGAAATGCTACTGATTTTTGTACATTGATTTTGTATCCTGAAACTTTGGTGAAGTTGTTTATTAGATCTAGGAGCTTTTGGGCAGAGACCATAGGGTTTTCTTGGTATAGAATCATATTATCTACAAACAGCAATAGTTCAACTTCCTCTCTTCCTATCTGGATGCTCTTTCTTTCTTTTTCTTACCTGATTGCTCTGGCCAGGACTTCCAGTACTATGTTCAATAGGAGTGATGAGAGAGGGCATCCTTCCCTTGTTCTGGTTTTTAAGGGGAAGCTTTCAGCTTGTGCCTATTTAGTATGATGTTGGCTGTGGGTTTGTCGTAGATGGCTCTCATTATTTTGAAGTATGTTCCTTCAGTGCCTAGTTTGTTGAGGGTTTTTAATATGAAGAAATGTTGAATTGTATCAAAAGGTCTTCTGCATCTATTGAGATAATCATGTGGTTTTGGGTTTTTTTAGTTTGTTTGTGTGTCAAATCACATTTATTGATTTGCATATGCTGAACCAACCTTGCATCCTAGGGATAAAACCTACCTAATCATGGCAGATTAGCTTTTTGATGTGCTGCTGGATGTGGTTTGCCAGTATTTTGTTGAGGATTTTTACATCAATGTTCATCAAGGATATTGGCCTGGAAGTTTTATTTTTTTGTTGTTCTCTTCTCCTCAAGTTTTTGGAATAATTTCAAGAGGAATAGTACCAGTTCTTCTTTACACATCTAGAATTCAGCTGTGAATCCATCTGGTCCTGGGCTTTTACTGGTTGGTAAACTTTTTATTACTGATTCAATTTCAGAACTCATTATTGATCTGTTCAATTTCTTCCTGGTTCAGTCTTGGGAAGTCGTATGTTTCCAGGAATTTATCCATTTCTTGCAGGGTTTCTAGCTTGTGTGCAGAGGTGTTTGTAGTAGTGTCTGCGGGATTTTTTTTTTGTATTTCTGTGTGGTCAATGGTAATGTCCCCTTTGTCATTTCTGACTCTGTTTATTTGGATCTTCTCTCTTTTTTCTTTATTAGTCTAGCTAGCAGTCTACCTATCTTATTAATTCCTTCAAAAAACCAATTCTTAGATTTGCTGATCTTTTGTATGGCTTTTTTTGCATCTCAATTTCCTTCAGTTCAGCTCTGATTTTGGTTATTTCTATCTTCTGCTAGCTTTGGGGTTGGTCTTCTCTTGTTTCTCTAGTTCCTCTAGTTGGGATGTTAGGTTGTTTATTTGAGATCTTTCTAACTTTTTGATGTGGGCATTTAGGGCTGTAAACTTCCCTCTTATCACTGCTTTAGCTGTGTCCCAGATATTCTGGTATGTTATATCTTTGTTCTCAATAGTTTCAAAGAATGTCTTGATTTCTGCCTTAATTTCATTATTTACCCAGTCATTCAGGAGCAGGTTAATTTCCATTAATTGTATGTTTTTTAGTGATATTCTTGGCATTGATTTCTATTTTTATTATGCTGTAGTCTAAGAGTGTGGTTGGTATGATTTTGTGGGTTTCTGCTTTTTTTTTTTTTTTTGGCTGAGGATTTTTTTATGTCTGAGTGTGTGGTGAATTTCAGAGTATATGCCATATGCAGAAGAATGTATAGTCTGTTGTTTCTGGGTACAGCATTCTGTAGATGTCTTTTGGTCTGCTTTGTCAAGTGTTGAGTTCAGGTCCCAAATATTTGGTAGTTTTCTGCCTCAACAATCTAATACTGTCAATGGGGTGTTAAAGTCTCCTGCTATTATTGTGTGGTTATCTAAGTCTCTTTGTAGGTCTTTAAGAACTTGCTTTATGAATCTGGGTGCTCCTGTGTGGGTACTTACATATTTTGGATATTTAGGTCCTCTTGTTGAACTGTGCCCTTTACCATTATGTAATATCCTTCTTTGTCATTTTTTATCTTTGTTGGTTTAAAGTCAGTTTTGTCTGAAATTAGAATAGCAACCCCTGCTTTTTTCTGTTTTCCATTTTCTCGGTAGATTTTTCTTCATCCCTTTACTTTGAGCCTATGGATGTCACTGCATGTGAGATGGGTCTCTTGAAGACAGCACACAGTTGGGTCTTGCTTCTTTACCCAACTTGCCACTCTGTGCCTTTTAATTGGGGCATTTAGCCTGTCTACATTCATGGTTCATATTGATATATGTGGATTTGATCAATGTTATCATGTTGTTAGCTGGTTATTATGCAGACTTGTTTGTGTGGTTGCTTTATAGTGTCACTGGTCTATGTACTTAAGTGTGTTTTTATAGTGGCCAGTAACAGTCTTTCCTTTCCATATTTAGCCCTTCCTCAGCACCTCTTGTAATGCAGGTTTGGTGGTAATGAATTCCCTTAGCATTTGCTTGTCTGGAAAGGATCTTATTTCTCCTTCACTTATGAAACTTAGTTTGGCTGAATAAGAAATTCTTGATTATAAATTCTTTTCTTCAAAAATGCTGAATATAGGCCCTCAAACTCCTCTGGCTTGTAGGGTTTCTGCTGAAAGGTCTGCTGTTAACCTGATGGGGTTCCCTTTTTAGGTGATCTGCCCCTTCTCTCTAGCTGCCTTTAAAATATTGTCTTTCATTTCAACCTTGGGGAATCTGATTACTATGTGTTGGGGATGGTGTTCTTGTGTAGTATTTTGCAGGGGTTCTCTGCATTTCCTGAAATACAGTGTTGGTCTCTCCAGCAAGGTTGGAGAAATTTGCATGGACGATATCCTGAAATACGTTTTCCAAGTTGTTTGCTTTCTCTCCCTCTCTTTCAGGGATACCAATGAGTCACAGGGGTGATCTCTTTACATAACTCTATATTTTTCAAAGGTTTTGTACATTCTTCTTTATTTTTGTTTTGTTTTGTTTATCTAATTGAGTTATTTTGAAGAACCAGTCTTCAAGCTCTTAGATTCTTTCCTCAGCTTGGTCGATTCTGCTGTTAATACTTACAATTGTATTCTGAAATCCTTGAGGTGAGTTCTTTAGCTCTATCAGATCAGTTTGGTTCTTTCTTAAAAATGGCCATTTCTTCTATCACCTCCTGTATTATTTTATTGTGTTTCTAAGAATCCTTAAATTGGGTTTCAATTTCCTTCTGAATCTCAATGATCGTCATTCCTATCCGTATTCTGAATTATATTTCTGTCATTTAAGCCTAGTTAAGAACCATTGCTGGGGAACTAGTGCAGTTGTTTGGAGGTAAGAAGACAACTCTGGCTTTTTGAGTTGCCATAGTTCTTACACTAGTTCTTTCTCACCTGTGTGGCCTGATGTTCCTTCAATCTGGAAGATTTTAGGGGGCCAAGGCTCACCTCAGCCCTCCTGAGCTGTGTGCTCTAATTCTGAGGGGTTGGGTATTGGGCCCTCAGCTTTGTTCTCTGGCCCCACAAGGTTATGAACCTGCTGCACTGGAGGAGCCAAGGTGTTCCCAGACCACTGGCCACAACACTCCAATGGGTGATGCCAACCAAAGTCCTTCGTTGGGCGGTGGCAGTGGGATCTGTGTTCATTTGCACGTACTAGTAGCAACAGCAGTGTGGCAGGGTGCATACTTGTTAGATGTGGCTGGGGACTGGAGGGTGCAGGGCTGATGGCCTCCATGTGAATGTTCACAATGGTGGCACAGGGTGAGGGGGTAGGGTCACTGGCATCCATGTGTGTGTGTGCACCAGCACTGGTGTCAGAGGGATGCTGGCAGACACGAGACTGGCAGCCTTCATGTGCACATTCACTTCTTATTACTTTTTATAGGTTAAGATATATTGAATGCTTCCTGTATATCAGGTACTCTGCTAAGTACTTTCATATTTGTTTTCTCATTATCCTTATAATCATGTACATGGTAACTGTTATTATTCACATTTGCTAGATGTAAAAACTAAGGATGTGAAAGAAAAAATAACTTGCATGAGGATACAAGTCATATCTAGGATTTAACCCAGTTCTAAACAGTTCCAAAGGCCAAGGTCTTAACCACTATGATATTCCGTCTACAAATTTTACTTTCAGTTGCAAACTTAACCTACCTTCAGCATATGATTGCCATTTGCTATTGATGCATAGTCCTTTTGATGTGCTTCTTTGAAAAGCAACCACTAGAGGCCATGGGCCCTGGAGTCTAGAGCATGGCCTGGCAATTAATGACAACTAGGCATAGCCAGGCACAGTAGCTCACACCTGTAATCCCAGCACTTTGGGAAGCCAAGGTGGGAGGATCGCTTGAGGCCAGGAGTTCGAGACCAGCCTGGGCAACATAGTGTGACCCCATCTCTACAAAAAAAATTTAAAAATAGCCAGGTGTGGTGGTACATACCTGTAGTCCCAACTACTCGGGGAGGCTGAGACAGGAAGATCCCTTCAGCCCAGGAAGTCAAGGCTGCAGTGAGCCATGATCACTCCACTGCACTGCACTCCAGCACCTAAGCACTGACCTTAGCACCATTAACAATTTAGTAACTGCACCATCATATCACAAACAAAGAAACTGAGAACTAAACTGGTAAAGTGGGTCTTGTGAAGACTTTAAAAACATAAGTAGATGTAAACATTTTAAAGGTAAATTAGTGGAAGAAGAATAAAAGTTAAGCAAAAATTAAGTAGTGAAGTAAATTAAACTAAATTGATTTAGTAAAATAAATTTAAAGTGAATAATTAAATTTAAGTAAAAATCAAATATTTAGCAATCGCAGCAGAATCGCAACTAGTTATCTAGATCTGCATCAAAATCTCCATTTATGAAAACAACTTCTGTAATTACACCTCTCTGGGTCTATATAATTTCTCCACAACACAAATTATCTCCAGAAATAAAATCCATGCAAGCAATTCTCAAGTTTTATACACTGGACTTTTAAATAACCTACACATTTATGAATTGTTACATTAAGATACTTAAATTGCTATCTTTGCCAATTTAGGACATTTCTTCATCAGCTGATGACAGGACATTCTGAGCTTCTACAGGGTGGCATTGCCTGCCAGCAGATCATTTTCACCTCAGCCACCATTTTTGTCTGTACTTTAGTGTTTATATAATTATGTGAATACTTTAGCACATTTTCCCCCTTTTTTTAATGAGTAGAAAACAGGAAATGAAAGTGATGACACTTAAGAAGTATAGGGCTCAAAGGGAATACAAAGTGAGAAATCATAAGGTAGCACAAAACAGGCAAATCTTTTGCCTCGATTGATATATTAGACTTAAAGTTCTCTACTGTTTTCAGTTGTGTAGGTAAAGAACATTAAAAACTCAGGCTGGGCATGGTGGCTCACGCCTGTAATCCCAACACTTTGGGAGGCTGAGATGGGCGGATCGCTTGAGGTCAGGAGTTCGAGACCAGCCTGGCCAACATGGCGACACCCCCTCTCTACCAAAAAAAATAATAATAATGCAAAAGTTAGCCAGGCATGGTGGTGCATGCCTGTAGTCCCAGCTACCGGGGAGGCTGAGGCATGAGAATCACTTGAACCTGGGAGCCGGAGGTTGCAGTGAGTCGAGATCGTGCCACTGTACTCCAGCCTAGGTGACAGAGTGAGACTCTGTCTCAAAACACACACACACACACACATACACACACATGAAATTTCTGAAAAATATCCTCAAAGGTTGCATCTCAAAAACAAGGTGAAATTCGAGATTATACAATGTTTTTCAGCTCTCTAGAACAGAAAGCAGATCTAGGAATCCATGAAGGCACAAAAGCAGGAGAACCACCTGGGATTCTTTCTGTCCAAAGAATGTTAGGGACTCATTTATGCAATGTCAGTCTTGATGAACTAAAACAACTCTAACACCTTGGCTTCTAGATGTATTTTTATGATTCACCATGACAAACATGCACTGACCATGTGATTATAGTGTGACTCTAGGAGAACATTAATAATTCACATATTTGCTCCTGACATTTTTCCTAATATAAAAAGAACCACCTCTGCAAACTAAGAAGGCTAGAGTAAGACAGAATCTTAAAAACTGCAGTGACTATAAAGATATCAAGGGTAAAACTGATTACCCAAAATTAAGTAAAAAAGAGGCTTTAATTAAAGCTTATTAGCTTAATATGCTTACTTCTAAACAACTTATATAAGCAGAGAGTAAGGAACTCAGAATTGCATTTGGATCCACAATCTCTGCACTTGGAGCCCTCCCTTCTGCTCCCCTACCCTCCACTTTTTCACCACAGTCCTCTCTAAACCCTGCTTTGGGATCTGGTTTCTTTCTTCAGTCCAATTTTTCCTTCTTTCTACCTTTCAGAAATTCATCAAGCTTTATAATCCCTTGATGATACATTTTTTTGTTTTCTAGTGCTGATAAAAGTTTACTTACTTATTCTTCAAAATAGCTTTTCCTTCATTTTTAGGACTCTGGAGACAGCGTGAAAGGAAATGAATTAGAGTAGACAATGAAGCTAGAAAGGTAGCAGGAAGCCACAATGCGGGGCCTGGAATACTCTGTGATGGAGTTTCTATATTATTCTGTGACAAGAGAGAGCCCAAACTGAAACAAAGAAAAAAAATCATATAGAAAATGGGACTTCTACAAAGATACTTCTTAAAGGATTAACCATGACAGAAATGTGTTGAATGAATTGGAGAAGAGTTGTCAGGCCATTGAAATGGTTCAGGTGAGAAGCTATATGGTCCTGAATTAGTGTAGAGGCAGCCGATATGAAACACTGAGATTATGGGCTGCCAAAGAAAAGATGGTAAACATTTTGGCAAGGCTCCTCTTGAAAAAGGAAGAGAGAATTCTCCTTCTTTGGCTCCCCCTTATAATCCTAGAGAAACTCAGACAATATACTATCAACCAGTACAGTGTATTTGGTGCTAAATACACTTTTACAGAGTTTTCTGAAAACCAAACTACAACTTCATTTATAGCATTATTTCTATAATAAAAGACACTGAAATTTTCAAACAACTAACTAAAAATTCTGACACAGCTTTCTATGTGTCAGAAACCAGGCTAAGGCTGGGCACGGTGGCTCACGTCTGTAATCCCAGTACTTTGGGAAGCCAAGGCAGGCGGATCACGAGGTCAGGAGTTTGAGACCAGCCTGACCAACATCGTGAAACCCCATCTCTACTAAAAATACAAAAATTAGCCAGGACTGGTGGTGCGCACCTGTAAACCCAGCTACTCAGAGGCTGAGGTAGGAGAATCACTGGAACCCGGGAGGCACAGGTTGCAGTGAGCCAAGATCACACCATTGCACTCCAGCCTGGGCAACAGGGCGAGACTCTGCCTCAAAAAAAGAAAGAAAGAAGGAAAGAAAAGAAAAGAAAAGAAAAGAAAAGAAAAAAAAAGAAAAGAAAAGAAAAGAAAAGAAAAGAAGGAAAGAAAGAAAGAAAGAAAGAAGGAAGGAAGGAAAGAAAGAAAGAAAGGAAAGAAAGGAAAGAAAGAAGGAAAGAAATCAGGCTAAACTCTTTGAATGCAAAATAACATTTAATCTATACAACAACCATATAAAGTAAGTATTATTGTTATTCCTACTTTACAGATAAAGAAAATAGAGTTTGGAGACATTAAGTAGTATGTCCAAAATCCAGTTAGTAAATGGTAAAGAAGGTATTTGAACCTGGATCTGTCTGACTGTGAAGACCATGCTCTTAACCACTATCTTTAATATCTGACAGACCATCATGGTAAACAATGGGTGTAACAAGTGTACCACCTTCCTGAGGATTTTGGAAAGGTTAGAGGTAGGGGAACAAGAATTATCCTGCCTAGATGTCAAGAGCATTCCACCCTCACTGAAAAATATTGATTTAAAGTATTCTTATTCTGTATAGCTCCAGATATAAAAATTAAAAATATTAAAAATATTTTGCCTACTTTAAGCTTTTTAATAATTTATGTTTCATTAATTCGCACTGCTTTTCTCATCAACTTTGCCTGAAAAGTAATGTTTTACACCTTTCTATAAAGTTAAATTATAGCAGTTCTCTAAATATTGTCAGGATTCTGTTCAAATTCAAAAAAAATAAAATGGGCCAGGCTCGGTGGCTCACACCTGTAATCCCGGCACTTTGGGAGGCCAAGGCGGGTAGATCACTTAAGGTCAGGTGTTCAAGACCAGCCTGGCCAACATGGTGAAACTCTGTCTCTACTAAAAATAAAACAGAATTAGCTGGGCCTGGTGGCGCATGCCTGTAACCCCAACTACTCAGGAGGCTGAGGCAGGAGAATTGCTTGAACCTGGGAGGCAGAGGTTGTGGCGAGCCAGGAACGCACCACTGCACTCCAGCGTGGGTGACAGAGACTTCGTCTCAAAAAAAAAAAATTTAATTTAATTTTAAAAATAAATAAATAAAATAAAAATAAAATGGATGGTGCCAAAGTGATTGTATGAGTGACCATAAAACCTGAAGGTATGAGGGACAATATACACTCTAAAGGAGCCTTGGTCAGGCATGGTGGCTCACACCTGTAATCCCAACACTTTCAGAGGCCAAGGTAGGAGGACAGCTTGAGCCCAGGAGTTCAAGACCAGCCTGGGCAACATAGTGAGACCCCCATCTCTACAAAAATTAAAAAATTAGCTGGGTGTGGCAGCATGTGTCTGTGGCCCAGCTACTTAGAGAGCTGAGGTGAAAGGATCACTTAAGCCCAGGAGATCAAGGCTGCAGTGAGCCATGATCATGCCATTGCACCCCAGTCTGGACAACAGAGCGAGACCCTGTCTCGATTTAAAAAAAAAATTAGCCAGGCATGGTGATGCACATTTGTGGTCCCAGCTACTCAGGAGGCTGAGGTGGGAGGATTACCTGAGCTGTAGTGGTTGAGGCTACAGTGACCTATGATCACACCAACCTGGGTGGCAGAGACCCTGTCTCTAAAAACATGAAATAAAATAAAGGAGCCCTATACATAGGTATAGATAAGTTTTTTTTTTTTTTGAGACGGAGTTTCACTCTTGTTGGCCAGGCTGGAGTGCAATAGTATGATCTTGGCTCACTGCAACCTCCGTCTCCCAGGTTCAAGCGACTCTCCTGCCCTAGCCTCCCAAGTAGCTGGGATTTTAGGCATGCACCACCACACTCGGCTAATTTTTTGTATTTTTAGTAGAGAAAGGGTTTCACCATGTTGGCCAGGCTGATCTCGAACTCCTGACCTCAGGTAATCAACCTGCCTTGGCCTCCCAAAGTAAACAAGACTTTTTTTAAGAATAAGTTTCAGGAGCAAAAAGGGGCAGAGGGAGGCATTGGAAAGCAGGAGTATGAGGAAACTTTATTGGGTGATGAATATGTTCACTCTTGATTTTAGTAAAGGTTCACAGGTCTATAGATACGTCAAAACTTAATAAATTACACACTTTAAATATATGTAGTTTATTGTATGCCAATTATACATCAATACAACAATTTAAAAAAAAATAAATTTCTGAGGCCTGAAAAGCAAAACAATAGTATAAGAATACTGTCTCCAAACAGTACCAGAAAAAGATTTGAGATGCTACATAATACAATGAAAGGTTTAAGGATATAACCAAGCGACTGATTCACAATTCCCTTTAGAAAAATGGCACAGGATTGCAGAAATTAGGTGGCAAAAATACTAATATGCCCAAATTGAGAACACAGGAATCTGCTTTGCCTAGAGCCCCTTTCACTAATTCAGTTCAATAGCATGTGCTGAGGCAGGGCTGGAAGAGAAACCACAGTCATACCAGACAGACACCCAATCCCAGAGGTCATAAAATGACCATCCCATTGGGCATCACTGACATGTTTCGTTTGGTCCTCACTGTTGGAAAAATAATCTTTTTTAATTAGTTGCCAACATCTAAAAATCCAGAGATCTCTCCACCCAAATCTGAATGCTTAACCTTTCTCAAAATATCAAAAGATCTGGTAACACTTGGACTCCTGTTTCCAGCCTAGCAATAGGCCATGCACTCTGGTCAGCCACAGATTTCCAGACTCAGTCTTCCTATTGATCTGTCCCTGGAAGCCTGACCCATTTATTGTAATGTTTCAATACCATCTCAGTGCTCATCATTGCAGTGGGTGTAACTCCCACTCCAAAGGGTAAGGAACTTTCCTACCTAAGCAACCAGTGGCAGCCAACAGAAGGCTAGACTTACACATCCCTTTTTAGAGAAAGGTCAATAATAGAAACAAATCCTGAAAACTGGTTCTGGGGCATTAGTTTACAACTTCAGTGGAGAAGCTTCTGACAGACAGAATTTCCCTACTAAAGATCCTTCTCAGCACCAGCCTCCTCACCCTTCAAACACAAATGCATACACAGTCCCAGCTCCTTCCCTAGCCTTCCCCTCCCACATTCTGCCAGGTAATGGAATGGTTAACAGGAATTTTTATCATCTTGCCTCCAGCTTAAGATAAAGAAAAATTTCTTAAAGAAAAAAAACTGGTGAAAAGGCAAAGTCCCCAAGGAATAATCACACAAATTATTACAGGTCAAAAGGGGTCAGAAACCTATACTCATTCAATGAATAAACAACCAATATTTTATTTAATCATTTTATAACAAAAGCATTAATATTAAATCAGGTTCAAGGCAAGATTTATCATCATCACCTAACATTTTTCTAGTCAATGCATAAAATAATAGAGAGAACTATCACAAAGAAGTCAATTTAAAAAACAATAAAAAATAAACCTCTTAGTTTGCAGATGACCTCATTCCTAGAAGACCCAAGAGAAACCACTGAAAAGCCATGAAAACAAATACGGAAATTCAATAAGGTGACTGAATGGTTACAAAATTAATATACAAAATTACAGTTGTTTCAACTCAGCAATAATCATAGAAAAAATAAGATGAATAAAAATTGAAACAGGCTTGGCACAGTGGCTCACGCTTGTGATCCCAGCACTTTGGGAGGCCGAGGCAGGCAGATCACAAGGTCAGGAGATCGAGACCATGGTGAAATCCTGTCTCTACTAAAAATATTAAAAAAAAATTAGCCAGGCCTGGTGGCGGGCGCCTGTAGTCCCAGCTACTCGAAGAGGCTGAGGCAGGAGAATGGCTGAACCCGGGAAGCGGAGCTTGCAGTGAGCTGAGATCGTGCCACTGCACTCCAGCCTGGGCGACAGAGCGAGACTCGTCTCAAAAAAAAAAAAAATTGAAACATAATAGCAAACAAAACTATAAAATATACCCAAGAACAAAACCAATGAAAGTTGCTAGCACAGTCACATCATCCTGGAGAGGGAGACTTCCTGAGGGCTGATCAACTGTCTAATCACTATTTAGAGAGTGGGACTGGACTCTACCACAACACATCGACCCTCCCTCTGAACTATGCATAAACCACCCTGTCAAAGTTCAGCCTGCACATGACCCAAGAGGAAATCATGGCTTGTTTCCCCAGTGACACTCTGGACCTGATCAAAACCTACGCCTCCCAGGCCCAGTTCTGAATCATAGGAAATCCAACCCAAACTGTTCGTTCCTCAGAGTGCATACAGGAAACATATCCAACCAGCAGAGAATCAGGATTCATCACTTTTCGGGAACCGGGTAAAATGTTAAGTAGAGAAAATTTACCTATTCTCTAAGGAAGGGATTTCAAGGAACTCTAAAAAGCTTTTGACAGAGGCCAAGTGTGGTGGCTCATGCTTGTAATCCCAGCTCTTTGGGAGGCTGAGGCAGGGTGGCTTAAGGTCAGGAGTTCAAGACCAGCCTGGCCAACATGGCCAAACCTTGTCTCTACTAAAAATACAAAAATTAGCCAGGCATGGTGGTGGACACCTAAAATCCCAGCTACTACTTGGGAGGCTGAGGCATGAGAATTGCTTGAACCAGGAGGCAGAGACTGCAGTGAGCCAAGATCATGCCACTGCACTCCAGCCTGGGTGACAAAGCAAGACTGTCTCAAAACAAAACAAAACAAAAAAACAGTTTTTGACAGAGAACTAACTCTAAGTGTGGAAATAAGTACATAGGCCTTTTACATTATTACTGAATCGAACCAAGAGAAAAAAATACTTTGGGCCAGGCGTGGTGGTTCACGCCTGTAATCCCAGCACTTTGGGAGGTGGAGGCAGGCAGATCACTTGAGGTCAGTAGTTCAAGACCAGCCAGGCCAACATGGTGAAACCCCGTCTCTACTCAAAATACAAAAATTAGCCGGGTACAGTGGTGTGTGCCTATAGTCCCAGCTACTCGGGAGGCTGAGGCACAAGAATCGCTTGAACCCAGGAGGTGGAGATTGCAGTGAGCCGAGATTGCGCCACTGTACTCCAGAACAGAACTAGAATCCATCTCAAAAAGACAAAAAAATTTGGGGCTGGGTGTGGTGGCTCACGCCTATAATCCCAGGACTTTGGGAGGCTGAGGCGGGTGGATCACTTGAGGCCAGGAGTTCGAGACCACCCTGGCCAACATGGCAAAACCCCATCTCTACTAAAAATACAAAAAATTTAGGCAGGTGTGGTGGTGCACATCTGTAGTCCCAGCTACTAGGGAGGCTGAGGCACAAGAATCACTTGAACCCCAAAGGCAGAGGTTGCAGTGAGCCAAGATCATGCCACTGCACTCCAGCGTGGGGGACAGAGTGAGATGATCTCAAAAAAGAAAAAATATTTTGAAATATGTTTATATTAATAGGAAATTCCCAATTAATACAGTCCTCAATATTTCAGAATTTGTGATTGTTTATGGTTTGGTTTCAAGATTGTCTTTTTACTCTCCAGACGAAAGTAGTTTCCTAAGAATATTAACTTAGGATTGATGATTTGAAGCACCACAGAAACATCTGTTTACATTCAGATAATTAATATGCTAATTTTTATCTATTAAATTAAGCAGGTTACGTAAGGACTTTTCAAAATAATACTTCATTAGCCTGATAATAATCAATATATATAGTTGAAGTAAGAAAATGGACATCTGTTGTAAGACATTCTTCAATTTAAGACTTTTACTAAATCAAACCAGTTTTCATACCTTAATTTCAATTATGGAGGTTTTACCTGTCAACAAACCAAAACAAAACAAAACAAAAAATCCTCTTTTGAGACAGAAAACAAACATTTCCATTCTTACCTTTGATGGTCTCCATTCCCAACTATCACCTATCTGTTGTGAATGTTTAATGAATTCTGCACAATAACGTTGGAATGTTTTTTCTCCAATGAACTCATCTTCTTCCATGTTAAATGATAACTGCAATACAAAAACTAAGTATTAGCATCAACTTTAGAATTATATTGAAAGGAATTCTGCCAATTGATTTATTTCTGTCAATAAACCAAAATTTGGGATGTAGAATGGCCTCAAGGCCACTAAAAAATGGTTTTGGCCAGGCGTGGTGGCTCACATCTGTAATCCCAGCAATTTGGGAGGCCAAAGCAGGAGGACAGCTTGAACCCAGGAGTTCGAGACCAGCCTGGTCAACACAGCAAGACTCTGTCTATATACAAACTAAAATACAGTTAGCCAGGCATAGTGGTGTGCACCTGTCGTCTCATCTACTCAGGAGGCTGAGGCAGGAGGATCACTTGAGACCAGGAGTTCAAGACTGCAGTTAGCTAGGATCATGCCACTCTACTCCAGCCTGGGCGACAGAGTGATACCCCATCTCAAAAAAAATAAAAAAGTATTTTTGTTTTTTCTATCTTTCTCACCTATCCCCATTTTTTTGTTGTTTTTATTTTTGTTGTTGTTGTTATTGTTGTTTTTGAGATGAAGACTCGCTCTGTCATCCAGGCTGGAGTGCAATGGCATGATCCCGGCTCACTGCAATCTTCATCTTCCAGGTTCAAGTGATTGTCCCACCTCAGCCTCTCGAGGAGCGGGGATTACAGTTGCAAGCCACCACGCTGGCTAATTTTTGTATTCTTAGTAAAGACAGGGTTCCACCATGTTGGCCAGGCTGGTCCTAAACTCTTGACCTCAAGCGATCCACCAGCCTCAGCTTCCCAGAGTGCTGAGATTACAGGCATGAGCCACAGTGCCCAGCTTGTTTTTGTTTTTTTATTCCCGTTTCTATATCTTTGGTGCTTAGCATAGTAAACACTCTAGATGCCTTTGTTCAATTGAATTAAAATCATATAAACTGCAAGGATTTTAAACCCCTGTTTGGCTTCAAGGCCAATGATCTGTCTATACTAGATAATTCCTAAACCAGTGTCATTTCTGATTATTCAAATTCAGTATAATCTATGTAAGAGTTTGTTCATTCATCCAACAAATACATAGTGAATATCTATTAAGTAGCAGGCACTGTGCATAAGTAAAGGTTAGGTATACAAAAATGAAAAAATATATAGTCCTTGCCTTGTAAGAGCTCATATTCTAACAAAGGGAGATAAAAAACACAAATAATTACAGTAGAAACTCTCTTATCCAACCTCCATCTAACCAACTTGCCAGATTAATCGACACTGACTCATGTCTACAGCATGCTGATCACGAAGCGCCTCTGCTCCCATCAGTTAACTGTGTGTTCACAAACCTTATTCTCCTATCATAAATATATACTGTAATTAAACGTTAAACAAACCAAACATCAAAGTAAAAAAGAGGGCTGGGCGCGGTGGCTCACCCAGCACTTTGGGAGGCTGAGGCGGGCGGATTACGAGGTCAGGAGATCCAGACCATCCTGGCTAACACGGTGAAACCCCATCTCTACTAAAAATACAAAAAATTAGGCAGGCGTGGCCAGGCGCGGTGGCTCACGCCTGTAATCCCAGCACTTTGGGGAGGCCGAGGCAGGCGGATCACAAGGTCAGGAGATGGAGACCAACCTGGCTAACACAGTGAAACCCCGTCGCTACTAAAAAATACAAAAAATTAGCCAGGCGTGGTGGCGGGCGCCTGTAGTCCCAGCTACTCGAGAGGCTGAGGCAGGAGAATGGCGGGAACCCGGGAGGCGGAGCTTGCAGTGAGCCGAGATCGCGCCACTGCACTACAGCCTGGGCGACAGAGCGACACTCCGTCTCAGAAAAAAAGTAAAAAAGACAACTGTTATTTCTATAAGCAAATGCCTTGGAAAGACTCGATAAAAGTCAGTCTCTCTAAGAAAAATAAACTGCTGTTGAACTAGGTATGGACAATACAACTGAAAAGATTGGTGAGGGACAGGGGAGAGAAAAGATTCCAAGCTTTCTGCCTTTAGGTGGTGGTGCATTGAGTAAGACAGAGGTCTCTGGAGGAAGAGCAGGTTTGGGAAGAGAGTTGGGTTTAATTTGGCCATATTGAGTTTGAATTTCAAATGCCCGTGGAATGTCCAAGTAAAGGGGTCTAGCAGGCATTTTGAGGTGTGCCTTGAACTCAGAAGGAAAGAGAAATCCGGGCTGGCAATACCGATTCTATATCAACGTTACATAGATGGTAACAGAACCCATTTCATCAATCAGAGAGAATGCAAAACTAGACTAGCAAGAGAAGACTAATATGGTGTAGCCAGAGGAAATTTTTCCAACTGTATGATGATCCTGACATATACTGAAAGATACCAAATCAAAGAAAAATTAACTTTCATTCATAAAGAACACTAATATACTTAGTAATATTTTTAAAACTCCAACAAACTCTTACTTAGTAACAAAACTGAACAAAGTAGCCTAAGCCCTCCAGTTACTTGAGATTTACTTAACTATTGAAAATACTTAAACATAAAATTTCATTCAATAGCCATAGTTTATCTAATTAACAGCACTGTGCTACAAGCAAGATGACTGAACATCAAAACACTAATTGATATTTGGTTGAATACTTTTAAAATTATCTAAGGACTAGGCTTTGCTGAAGGATGCTACATACAATAATACAAACACTTATGGCTTGATTACAAAATTAGGAAGTATGGTATATTAAAAATATATCCATCTCAACTGGATTCATCATAATGTACCATAATGAAATATCATGGAATAATTATTGTTTTTTTGATCAAGCAAGAATATTTCAACTCAAAAATGTAAATATAATTCAATCAACATTTTTATACATAGTTTTCAAGTTGTAATACTTTCTGGTCCTCTACCAAATTCATAAACTAGTAGAGGCAGAAATCTGAATCTCAGAACTTCCTATGAGATGGATGAAAATATGGCTAAAAATGGAAATAACCACAACTGTGGCTTATTGAGCAATAATGGCAAGAATAATCCTTATTTTGCAAATGAAAAATCTTAGATATGTGAACTGCCTATTCTTCCAGACTTAAGCTATCTTAAACTAAATTCAGACTACAGGTGACAACAGTCACTCAAGTGAACTCTCAGTAAAAAGATGAATTTCAATTCTCATCTGATCCTAAACAATGAATCTCTCGCCCTCTCCCTCTCCCTCTCCCTCTCCCCACGGTCTCCCTCTGATGCTGAGCCGAAGCTGGACTGTACTGCTGCCATCTCAGCTCACTGCAACCTCCCTGCCTGATTCTCCTGCCTCAGCCTGCGGAGTGCCTGCGATTGCAGGCGCGCGCCGCCAGGCCTGACTGGTTTTCGTATTTTTTTGGTGGAGACGGGGTTTCGCTGTGTTGGCCGGGCTGGTCTCCAGCTCCTAACCGCGAGTGATCCGCCAGCCTCGGCCTCCCGAGGTGCCGGGATTGCAGACGGAGTCTGGTTCATTCAGTGCTCAATGGTGCCCAGGCTGGAGTGCAGTGGCGTGATCTCGGCTCGCTGCAGCCTCCACCTCCCAGCCGCCTGCCTTGGCCTCCCAAAGTGCCGAGATTGCAGCCTCTGCCTGGCTGCCACCCCGTCTGGAAAGTGAGGAGCGTCTCTGCCCGGCCGCCATCCCATCTAGGAAGTGAGGAGCGCCTCTTCCCGGCCGCCATCCCATCTAGGAAGTGAGGAGTGTCTCTGCCCGGCCGCCCATAGTCTGAGATGTGGGGAGCGCCTCTGCCCCGCTGCCCCGTCTGGGATGTGAGGAGCGTCTCTGCCTGGCCACGACCCCGTCTGGGAGGTGAGGAGCGTCTCTGCCTGGCCGCCCCATCTGAGAAGTGAGGAGACCCTCCGCCCAGCAGCCGCCCTGTCTGAGAAGTGAGAAGCCCCTACGCCCGGCAGCCACCCCATCTGGGAAGTGAGGAGCGTCTCCGCCCGGCAGCCACCCCGTCCGGGAGGGAGGTGGGAGGGTCAGCCCCCCCGCCCGGCCAGCCGCCCCGTCCGGGGAGGTGAGGGGCGCCTCTGCCCGGCCGCCCCTACTGGGAAGTGAGGAGCCCCTCTGCCCGGCCAGCGGCCCCATCCGGGAGGGAGGTGGGGGGGGTCAGCCCCCCGCCCGGCCAGCTGCCCCGTCCGGGAGGGAGGTGGGGGGGGTCAGACCCCCGCCCGGCCAGCCACCCCGTCCGGGAGGGAGGTGGGGGAGTCAGCCCCCCGCCTGGCCAGCCACCCCGTCCGGGAGGTGAGGGGCACCTCTGCCCGGCCGCCCCTACTGGGAAGTGAGGAGCCCCTCTGCCCAGTCAGCTGCCCCGTCCGGGAAGGAGGTGGGGGGGTCAGCCCCCCGCCCAGCCAGCCACCCCGTCCAGGAGGGAGGTGGGGGGGGGGGTCAGCCCCCAGCCCGGCCAGTCGCCCCGTCCGGGAGGGAGGTGGGGGGATCAGTCCCCCGCCCGGCCAGCCGCCCCGTCCAGGAGGTGAGGGGCACCTCTGTCCGGCCGCCCCTACTGGGAAGTGAGGAGCCCCTCTGCCTGGCCACCACCCCGTCTGGGAGGTGTACCCAACAGCTCATTGAGAATGGGCCATGATGACAATGGCGGTTTTGTGGAATAGAAAGGGGGGAAAGGTGGGGAAAAGACTGAGAAATGGGATGGTTGCCGTGTCTGTGTAGAAAGAGGTAGACATGGGAGACTTTTCATTTTGTTCTGTACTAAGAAAAATTCTTATCCTGTTGATCTGTGACCCTACCCCCAACCCTGTGCTCTCTGAAACATGTGCTGTGTCCACTCGGGGTTAAATGGATTAAGGGCGGTGCAAGATGTGCTTTGTTAAACAGATGCTTGAGGGCAGCATGCTCATTAAGAGTCATCACCACTCCCTAATCTCAAGTAATCAGGGACACAAACACTGCGGAAGGCCGCAGGGTCCTCTGCCTAGGAAAACCAGAGACCTTTGTTCACTTGTTTATCTGCTGACCTTCCCTCCACTATTGTCCTATGACCCTGCCAAATCCCCCTCTGCGAGAAACACCCAAGAATGATCAATAAAAATAAATAAATAAATAAAAGGGGAAAAAAAAAAAACAATGAATCTCTCATTTCTAGTTGTAAGTAGGTTAGAAATGAGTCAGCGCTCCTCATGTCATAAAGTATAAGTTGTTTTGTTTTGTTTTGTTTTTTGGAGACGGAATCGCCCAGGCAGTGGCATGATATCGGTTCACTACAACCTCCACCTCCCGAGTTCAAGCGATTCTCCTGACTCAGCATCCCAAGTAGCTGGGACTACAGGCACACACCACCACACCAGGCTGAATTTTTGTATTTTAGTAGAGATGGGGTTTCACTGTGTTGCCCAGGCTGGTTGCGAACTCCTGAGCTCAGGCAATCCACCCACCACCCCACCTCGGCCTCCCAAAGTACTAGGATTATAGGCGTGAGCCACCACGCCTGGCATAAGTTGTTAATACATCCATTTTGCTTGAGTCTTACTCTGGCTGAAGAGTTGTGTTGTTTTGTTTTTGTTTTTGTTTTGTGACATTCAATCAAAACCTTTTTCTAACTGCTTTAGCAGAGACTAAAGATTGGAAAAATAGAATAATTTTCTGTTTTTCCAAGTGAGGGTAGTCTTTCCAAACTGTAAGTTAGCCCTTAGACTAGAAGGATAGAAGAAGCTTATTCTGCTGCTGTTCAAATATATCTTTCCAGAAAAGCAGCCTTAGTGAATTCTAACACTGTATATAATCATTGTTTAAATGATCCTTTTTAATTGAAAACAATTTTTTCACTACCACTCTCCATACTGTTTAATGTGATTTTTAATCTAATGTGTGTAGAACTAATTCTTTGTTATTGTTTTAGTTGGAGACGTTGATTTGATGAATCTATAAATCAATGTACATCAAAGTCATAATAGGACTAAAACACTATAAGAAATATAACTGAATTTCCCAGAACTTAAGATCATTTACAAAAATGTGATTACCACAGAACATGCGATGCATACATTTAAACATTAAAAATCATTTTTGACTAATAAAGTAGGCAATTTCCTGAATACTTGTCCCTCCTAGCAACAATTCCACATTATTTATAACTCTAAGTGTAGACTCTTTTTTAAAAAACATGCACTATCAGGTAGGAGAGTTAAACATCAACCCACTACTTTTATGGCAATTTGGCTTGAATTGATTCAGATTAATTTAATCACTTACCTAGCAAGGTCCTTAGGCAGTGGTCCTCAAATTTTAGACAGCAAAGAAGCACCCACAGTGCAAATTCAAATGTGGAATCCTAGGCCTTGGCCAGAAAAATAACCTGATTCTGAAGACCCAAAATAATTACTTTTAATTAGCACCTGGGATACTTTCAAAGGGAATCATGCTAAAAGATTAGCATGATCCCTAGACAAAAGATGAATCACTTTGACAGGGCTGGTAAAAGACCTGGATTTCAAGACATTTGGCAGCCTGGGTGGGACACAGAAGGCATGGCCCTGGGCAATCCAATAAAATAGCACAGAGACACATCAGAAGAGAAGTCGTATCAGTCCTAACAACAGATGACCAGCAGGCTCAATTCTCCCTCCTTGCCTTCCCATTGGAATACATATTCCAAATCAAAGTTTAAATGAGAGGCAACACTGTACCTGGCTGGAAATGAGGAATCTCTGTTGGTAGCTGAGGCTTGCTCTGACCTCTCTATCACTAGGTCAGGGGAAAGAGGGTCATTTCACTCTCTCCCATTCCCTTCAGAGAAACAGATCCTGAGTTGCCCCTCCCCTCCTGGTTTCTAGCTCCACTGGTAATTCTCTTTCAAGGCAGTTCTCTCCCAGTAGTGCAGTGTGCATGGCCAGATGTGGAAGGTAAAGCCCTGAGGTGCACTGAGTACTGTGCAGCGAGCGACAGGTAGCTGCAGGAACAGAATGAGCTCTCAGCATAGTACAGTCTCACCACTAACACCCCAAAAAACTAAAAAAAAAAAAACTATAAATTATTTCAAATCACACAAAAACACTCCCCTCATTATAGTTACAGGACCGAAAGATTCAACACTAGGAAAGGAAGACCTCTCCTAAGTATAGAAAATGATCTATCCTTCATAAATTTCGTTGTACCCATTCATCTGCTTTCCAAGCTAACATAAAGAGGAAGATTCCTCCAGCTTCCAAGTGTAGTGAGAGAGACGAAGGAACACTTGGTCACTCTGACCAGTCAACATGCCCCTCTTTTGTCAAGGTAAGTAAACCAAAAACATTAATAACAACACAAGACCTTTAAGAAGCTCTTGCATAAGAAAAGAGGGGAACTACCATAAACAGGAAGAGGGAAAGCTTGCTCCTGTAATGGACTTACACTAGGAATATGGAAATCAAACCGAGGAATTATCTACTCTATGTTCCCAATTTTAAAAAGAAAAAGAGAAAGGGAAAGACCTCTAAAAGCAAGAGATGAGGAAGGAAAAACAGCTGAGATGAAAAAGGAAACTGGATAAGAAAAAACTGGAAGGAAATTCAAACACGTAACAGTAGAGATAAAAATTCTACATTCAAGGCAACAGAGAGATGTATAGAAGCTGGAAAAAAATCACATTCGTGTTTCAGTGTATAAGCACATAAGATCCTCTCCAAACACACAAAAGAAAAAAGACCATGATGAAAATAATGCATATTGTTTGATGGAAGGACAAAGAACACAGGTCCAACCTACAAATAACTGGAATTTCTGAACTACAATCATAAGCAAATGTACAACTGAAAAACTGTTCTAAGATGGAAAAAAAAAAAGATTTAAAATATTTACCTATAAATTGAAAGAATTCACCATGTTTCTAAAAAAAACAAAGCTGCTGGAAAGAAACTTATGCCTAAACATAGCCTACAGGAATATCTTAATTTAAAGACTAGAAAGAAAAAAAGATGCAGGCAAAAAAAAAAAAAAAAAGGTTTACCTACAATTAGCAAAAATCAGGGTAGCCTCTGCCATCTTCACCCACTGCAACAAATGCCAGATGATAGAGCAATGTCTGCAATGTCTGGGGATTTGATTTACACTTCGTATCTTAGCATCTATAACAGATAGGCAAACAGTAAACATTTTTTTTTTGAGACGGAGTGTCGCTCTGTTGCCCAGGCTGGAGTGCAGCGGTGCTATCTCGGCTCACTGCAAGCTCCGCCTCCCGAGTTCACGCCATTCTCCTGCCTCAGCCTCCCGAGTAGCTAGGACTACAGGGGCCCGCCACCACGCCCAGCTAATTTTTTGTATTTTTTAGTAGAGACAGGGTTTCACCGTGTTAGCCAGGATGGTCTCGATCTCCTGACCTCGTGATCCGTCCATCTCGGCCTCTGGAAGTGCTGGGATTACAGGTGTGAGCCACCGTGCCCAGCCAGTAAACATTTTTTTTTAAGTTGTAAATGAATAAAAGAAAAATTCAGACCAGGCACCGTGGCTCACGCCTGTAATCCCAGCACTTTGGGAAGCTGAGACAGGAGAATCACCTGAGGTCAGGAGTTCAAGACCAGCCTGGCAAACATGGCAAAATCCCTTCTCTACTAAAAATACAAAAATTAGCCAGGTGCAGTGATGTGCACCTGTAGTCCCAGCTACTCCAGAGGCTGAGGCAGGAGAATCACTTAAACCCAGGAGGCGAAAGTTGCAGTGAGCTAAGATTGTGCCACTGCACTCCAGCCTGGGCGACAAAGCGAGACTCCATCTTAAAAAAAAAAAGAAAAATTCAAAAATTTGAATGGACTTATTCTATACACCTCTTCTCATTTATAGTACCTTTCTTCAACTTTCAGGCCTGTTCACTTCTTGGACCTTTCTTACACAAACTGATGTACACTTTGCAAGGCCGAGGTAGGAGGATCACTTGAGGCTAGGAATTCAAGGTTGCAGTGAGCTATGACCGTGACACTGCCCTTTAGCCTGGGAGACAGCAAGATCCTGTCTCTAAAACAAACAAACAACAACAAAAAAAACCACAGATCTATATGACATCCAATCTTTCTGATACCAGTATCATTACTTTTATCAAAAGATAATTTTTTAATAAAACTCTGCAAGCACATAAGAAAAAATGTTCCACCACTGATGACAATTTGAGCTGATCCACAGCTCAAACTCTCTTGCTGCCTTTGAACAGTGGGTAGTAGGACTAGTACAACAAACTCTAGTCAGCACATATGCCAAGTATCCAGAATTAGGAAATAAGGAGATAATGGGGTATCCTTGGCCAAAAGTATCCAAAAAATAAGAAGAGACAGAAAGGAGCAGTGGCTCATGCCTGTAATCCCAGCATTTTGGGAGGCCAAGGTGGATGGATCACCTGAGGTCAGGAGTTTGAGACCAGCCTGACCAACATGGTGAAACCCCATCTCTACTAAAAATACTAAAATTAGCTGGGCGTGGTGGCGGGCACATGTAATCCCAGCTACTTGGGAGGCTGAGGCAGGAGAATTGCATGAACCTGGGAGGCAGAGGTTGCAATGAGCTGAGATCATGCCATTGCACTCCAGCTTGGGCGACAGAGCAAGACTCCGCCTCAAAAAAAAAGACCAACACAATATCAGAAGCTACAGAATCAGTGCCAGTCTGAATACAGATTACAGAGCAAAGTGTCTTTAAAATATACTACCAAGTGCCATATTTTTATTTTGGAAAATAAAAAAAGGAAATGGTTGGACATTTTTGTAATGAAAGGCACATTCCCTTTAAATTTTTCTTCTTGCAAAAGTCTTTGTTCAGAGATGAGACTAATGTGCCTTCTATTTCCACAAGTTTTTCATTCATTCACTCAGTACCTACAATACCCTAGTGCTTGCTGTGAGTGTCCTCCTAGAAAAGAATGTCAAACTTCCTGGCAAAACTGGGGAAGACTCCAAAACTTGGAGTTCTGAACACATGAATTCAATTCTTGAAGAAATGAATTTTGAAATTTGAGTAAGGGCCAACCAGGTGGAGACAAAGTCACTCCAAAAAGATTGAGGAGCTCCTGCAAAGACAGGGTCTGAAAAGAATGCAAGGTTTAAAAATAAAACAAATGTCAGTGGATGGAGCATAGCTCGGGTGGAGAAGAGTATGGGCAAATAAGGTCTAATGGTTCCCAACTTTATGGGGAACCCGCTCTTCAAGGGGCTGCTTGGAAATAAATGGGATCATATTGGATTGTTAAAAAGAAGTTAGAGTTTGCCATTGCCATTTAGTGCTGAGGGACCAGGTAAAATAAACATCCTACAATGTACAGGACAATCCCACACAGTGAAGAGTTGTCTGTAAAAATGCCAGTAGAGCTCCCTTTGAGAAATACTGGGAAGTAGGTAAGGAATTAACAAAGTCTAGAGAATTTAACTCTAGGGCCTCAGCGTATCCTTTAAAATCTGTGATCACAATCTCCATTTCACTCACTAAATATTTACTAGGTGCTAAAAGATAAACCAAGGCACATTAAAATTTTAAAGGATTTATTTGAGGTCAGGCAAAGTAATCCTAGCACTTCGGGAGGACAAGGCAGGTGGATTGCCTGAGCTCAGGAATTCAAGACCAGCCTGGGCAAATGGTGAGATCCCGCCTCTACAAAAAAATACAAAAATTAGCCTGGCATAGTGGTGCATGCCTGTAGTCCCAGCTACTTGGGAGGCTGAGGTGGGAGGATAGCTGGAGCCCAGGAAATTGAGGCTGCAGTGAGCCATAACTGCACTACTGCCCTCCAGCCTGGGCGACACAACAAGATACTGTCTCAAAAAACAAAAACAAGAAAATGTTTATTTAAGCAGACAATGGTTAACCCATTTATGCTGGAGGTTGCAAATTTTTTTTGTGAAAAATCAGACCTTGGCGATGACCATGAGCAGGATATAAATAACTCCCACAAGCTTAGCGTTCCAATAATGGAACACTAGGCATATTAATGAATTGGTCAGCTCCAGAATGCAAGCAATATGGGGCTGCACCAAAAGGACACAGTTAGAAGGCTTTTGAAGAGTGAACGGCAGAAGCAAGGCCAAGAAAATCTGTGATTGGTCAAAGTGGAGTAGCCTTACTTGGATCATTCCAGTAAAAGTCAGTGGTTAGAGGTTAGTTGATGGTTTCTGATTGGTTAAGCTAAAGTTTCATTTTCCTAGAATACAACCATTTACACTGAGTTTGGTGTAAGTCTGTTTATGTAGGAACCCAGGGCACTGGAGCTTCCTCAGGCAATGGCCTCCCAATTAATTATTTTAACACAGGAAGCTGTTTTTGCTGGGCAATAAATATGTTTCCTTCTTTCCTTTGACCACCATGAAGCTTGGAACTTTGTGGCCTACCTTTAATAACTGTACAACAGGCCGGGCGCAGTGGCTCACGCCTGTAATCCCAGCACTTTGGGAGGCCGAGGCGGGCGGATCACGAGGTCAGGAGATCGAGACCATCTTGGCTAACACGGTGAAACCCCGTCTCTACTAAAAATACAAAAAAAAAAAAAAATTAGCCGGGCAAGGTGGCGGGCGCCTGTACTCCCAGCTACTCGGGAGGCTGAGGCAGGAGAATGGCGTGAACTCGGGGGCCGGAGCCTGCAGTGAGCCGAGATCACGCCACTGCACTCCAGCCTGGGCGACAGAGTGAGACTCCATCTCAAAAAAAAAAAAAGATAAAATAAATAAATAAATAAATAACTCTACAACATTCACAGTATATTTTCAGTATAACTCACCCTAATCACATCTTTCTATTCAAGCTTCATATTTTTATGATCTTGATTCTCTTTATTTTGTATGTTATTATATATTATATAGTTTAAGCTACCTCAAATACTTTTGGAACAAAATTGAGTTTAAATTTAAAACTCTAAGCTACAAAAGTACAATAAAAAACAAAAAAGAAAAAGAAAACTAGATAGTAAGATGGGAAGAAAAAAATATTACACTGAGCCCCCAAATCATCCTGAGAGGTCTGAGACACTTTTTTTTTTTGAGAGGGGGGTCTCACTATGTCACCCAGGTTGGAGGGCAGTGATACCATCTCAGCTGACTGCAACCTCCACCTGCCAGGCTCAAGCAATCCTCCCGCCTCAGCCTCTTGAGTAGCTGGGACCACATGTGTGCACCACCATGCACAGCTAATTTTTTGTATTTTTTGTAGAGACAGGGTTTTGCAATGTTGCCAAGGCTGGTCTCAAACTCCTCAGCTCAGGCAATTTGCCTGCCTCAGCCTCCCAAAGTGCTGAATCACAGGCATGAACCACTGTACCCAGCCTTGGTTTAAGAGACTTTCAAAAAGAAGTATAATACAGTCTTTGCCTTCAATAGTTTGTAACCAAATATTTTTTTATTTTTCAGAATACACATTCTTCTCAAAGTAATCAAATTTTTAAGTAAAGATTCACATTGAAAAGAACATCAGAGAATAATGGATAACAAAAAACAGTGATAAATTGTACAACCACTGTTTAAAGAATTAGTATGGATTAAAATAATTAAAATTGCATATATTACTATGTATTAAGAACTAGTAACAAATCCTCAGAGCAACTTTTTGAGGTAAATTACTAGGATTTTCTTTATTTTATAGATAAGGAAATTGAGACAGAGAGGGTAACTTGTCCAAGGTAACACAGCTGTTAAGTGTAGTAATTTGACCTAAGGAAGTCTGGAACCAGAGCCTGGGCCCTACAGTAGTTAGATTTCAGTTAATCCTTGAATTATAGGAGGATATAGAAAGAAAGAAATAGAAGGGATGGGGCAGTGGCAGTGAACCTTGGAACAGATTGAAATGAGGTAGACCAGTAAAGAACCTGAATGGAGAGTATAGATTGAGGGATATTGAGAATCTGGGGACAGGGTGCAGGAAGTTTACAGTCTTAAAACTCAAAGGAAGCTTGGAGACATAGCTCTCGCCTTTAGTCCTCACTACTCAGGAGGCTGAGGCAGGAGGGCTGCTTGAGCCAGGAGTCACGGCTGTGTAGTGCCTTCTAATTGTGCCTCTAAATAGCCACTGCACTCCAGCCTGGGCAACTTAGAGACCCCACTTCTTAAAAAACCAAAAGAAGAAACCAAAAAACCCAAAGGAGATTCCATTTAAAACAATTGGCAATAGGAAACCAGTGTAGGTTCTTGAGCTCAGAAGAGATGATAAAAAGGTTTTCTCAGAAAGATGTTACATGACAGTGATATGAAATAACCCTAGCTTCAAAGCTACACTCCTATTACTAAGCCCTCTTCCTGGATCCTATAAAACTATGTGATCAGGTAAGCACATTAGAGAAGTCTTGTCTCTGCAGTTTTCAGCAACCATTCCCTAATTAAGATTCCTTCAGGTACAGCTTATTCTCCTATTCTCCATTCCCCAACTTTCTAATTGCTTTATTATACTCAGGCTGCTTGTCCCCTGAAAACATTTGTTTTCAATAGATAATCACCAAATGATCTCCATGGCTTTTTTTTTCTTAAGGTTCCCTGATTATATTTATGATTCAAACACAACCTCCTGGGTCCCAAACACATCTCTAGGTTTCAAAGATAATCAAATCAAGCCCATCTTAAGAAATCTTCTGTAAGCTTTACTCTCCTTGTTTTTCCTAAAGGGCTGCTTTACCTTTCTCAGAAATGTATTAGGCATCAGGAACTACTGTCGACATGTAGTTTGTCACAAAACATTATACATAACTTGAATGGCCCACCATGTACCAAAATCTCAGTTAACCTTATCCTAAATAAAACAGGAGACAAGGGAAATAATCTTTTAACACTCCACATTCAAATGTATGCAATTTAGAACTACTATTTCCACTAATTTCTTCAATTTAAAATATCAATAACAATTTTTAAACTCTGCAATTTGCAAGACTTTAATTTTAATTTCTCAATACTCAGGATTTATTTTTTGGTCAAAGTTCTGTAACATTTCCTCTGGTCACTGTTTAACCTTTCTGAAGCAATGAGAAAGGATTCTACTTGGAGTCCTAAGATGTATTTGAGTACCACACAGGGCCTATGTCCTTCCATCCTGAGAAGCATAAACTTGTTTTTGCCACTAAAGAATAGAGACCATTGTCCAATAACAAAAGTTATAAATATGACTCAAAATGAACCTGTGACAAAGATTTATTAAACTCACAATGGAACAAGCTGAATGGCTTAGTGTGCTCAAAAGCATTTCAGGAACTGAGCATAAACACTGAAGAAAGGATGGTAAGTTTGATAGGTTAGACAGAAAAATGGTTAATATTGGCCGGGCGCGGTGGCTGACGCCTGTGATCCCAGTACTTTGGGAGGCCGAGGCAGGCGGATCACAAAATCAGGAGTTCCGGACCAGCCTGGCCAATATGGTGAAACCCCGTCTCTACTAAACTTACAAAAATTAGCTGAGCGTGGTGGCGGGCACCTGTAGTCCCAGCAACTCGGGAGGCTGAGGCAGGAGAATTGCTTTAACCCGAGAGGCAGAGGTTGCAGTGAGCCGAGATCGTGCCACTGCACTCCAGCCTGGGCGACAGAGCAAGACTCTGTCTCAAAAAAAAGAAAAGAAAAATGGCTAATATCCTACAAGGCACTAAAACTACAACCTTTAGGAGTACTGTATTTTTTTCTCTCCCACTCAGAAATAATTTGCATCTCCATTAATGAAAAAGATGTTAACTACAAAGCCTAGGCCCTAATCAATATCATCATGCCAAACAAAATATAGTCCCCTAGACATCTAAATCATCTTCAGGTGGGCCTGTTAGGCTCCATTTTGACTCTGAAAAAAACATGCTGTCCTTTTGCCTTATTTCCAATACTTTTGTAATTTTTACCGCCACTAAAAGTTTCTATAAATCAGTCAACTATTCCTTTATCATTCTCCGGTCCTCCCCGCCAATTCTTGATTTTATAGGTTTTTTGGGAGGTTTAAAAAAAAAAGAAAGACCTGTTGGCTCTAAATATCAAGTTATTCCTCCTGATACTTAATCTGAAACTTCAAATTAAGTTGGACTCAGCCACTGGAAGCCCCAGTAATTTAATACTGTTTCAACCAAAGATTTGCTATCAGTATGTGGATTTTAAACACAAAGTAGTTACTACCCACTTCGAGGGTGCTTTGGGTACTGGGCCAGGTGTGCTGGTGACACCGTGTGCGCGACGGGGACCGGGTCCCCGAGGAGGGAGTGTCCTCGCCCTTCCCCGCTCGCGGCGGCCAGCACAGGCCTGCAGTTACCGGCGGGGACCCGCTTCCCCGGCCTTTTGTTCAGGACTGGGCTGTTTCCCGCCTACCCGCGCGTGCCCTTCCTCCCTGTCCTAGGAGTGGGGCAAGGACCGTGTGGGAAGCAGAGCCGGGAGGAGACAACCGGCAAGGGCTGTGGGGAATACTCACCCCTCTCCGCTCGGCCCCTGACCCCGCAGCCCAGCCCGGCGAGGGCGGGGCGACGGGGCCAGGGGGAGGAGAGCTGGGGAGAGGGACCCAGCGCCCTGCGAGGCCACTGCCGCGCCGGTGACCCTACGGAACTGAATGATGGGACTGCGGGGGCCTCGAGGGCGGAGGAAGAGCCGAGCCAGCGCGCCCCGAGGCCAACCAGAAGTGGCCGTGGCCTCCTTCAGTCAGGTCCGCGGCCTCCTTCAGTCAGGTCCGCCACGGCCGAGTCGGAGCGTGCGCACTGCGCCTTCCCGCGCCGTGGGGGCCGCCTAGCGCAGGCCGGTGACGTGATCGGCCGCGCGCTCTGGGCAGGGCGGGGCTGAGACCCAGGCCGGGACTGGGAGCGGGTGGAGAGGAGGGAAGCGAGACCTCCCCGCCGCCCGCGACCACCCCCGCCAAGGCCCCGCCCCTCGCCTGGCGGGCAGCTCTCCCCCGCCAACCCCCACCTCCAACCCAACGCAGGCGGTGCCCTCCGCGGAGCACAAAGGCGGCTCGTTGACGGGGGAGCGGGTTACTAGCATCCCCCTAAGAGGTTGGGGAACCATGCCAGCATGCTTACGCTACAAAAAGTCCTGTAAACACCACAATTAAGCACAAGCACGGCTACCCCTTGAAAACTTACGGATGGAGGGAGAAGTTAGGAATTCGAATATTGACAATAGTACCATCTGTGGCACATATCCCAGAGGAGAAAAAAAAAAAACTAGCAGCAAAATTAAATTGGGGCGAAACGATGGGGATAAAGACTAGAAAAAATGTAGGAGTAACAGGGGTAATCGAACTGAAATAGCAGACATCTGAAAGAAAACTAGCATCTGCTCCTTCTAACAACAGAGTTAAATTTGTTGGAAATGAAAGGAGAAAATGCAGGCGAAGAAGTGAAAGGAAAACCTGCCTTCAAACTACATGACATAGTTTTTTGATCTTGTACTACAGTTGTGTAAGATGTCACCATTGGAGGAAACTAGGTGATAGGTACACGGGACTCTAGGTGCTGTAGTATTTTTGCAATTTCCTGTGTCTATAATTATTTCCAAATAATAAGTGTTTTTAAAAGGAGAGAATACTGATCAGTGGCGACCAGGGCAAAGGGCTGGAGGAAGGGGGTGACTGAAAAGGAGCTTGAGAGCTTCTATACCGTGATTGTGTTGGTGACTAAACCACTGTTTGACAAAACCCATAAGAGGTATAAATTTTACTGCATGTGAAATAGTTTAAAACTCAAAATGATGCGACTAATAAAAATGAACTTACACTAACATTTTTTAGCAACTATGGATATAAATTAATTGGTAGCTGCCAATTTAGATTATCCATTTAATTTTTTTAAAAGCACAAGGCAGTGTGTTCTGAATGAGAGCTTAAGTAGACCAGGTGTCTCCATCAACTTTAAGTATTTACCTTAAAAACGTATTTCACAGATGAAAACAAGAATGCGGCTGGGCGCAGTGGCTCACGCCTGTAATCCCAGCACTTTGGGAGCCCGAGGTAGGAGGATCGCTTTAGCCCAGGAGTTCAAGACCAGCTATGGGCAAGGCAGTGAGACCTCATCTCTACAAAAATTTTTCAAAATAACAATAAATTTTTAAAAAAAGAATGCATTGCTTTACATTGTACTCCATATTTTAGAAACACAGTGCACCAACCACCATGTTAATTTAAAAAAAATTTTTTTTGCACTGGAGGTGTTTTAAAGTTTCATAATTCACATGCCAAAAACAAAGAAACTAAAAGAAATAACTCAGTTAACCTCCATGTACTTCCTCTCATCATATCCCTCATGGCAAAGAATGATATTGGCCTGTTTATGTGTTTACCCTACAACACTATAAACTGCTTTAAGGCTACGGTCTGTCATCATAGCATTTCAAGGTTCAAGCAGGGCTCCTGTAGCTCTCCTCTCTGATCGCTGAGGTTCACCGAAAAATCTACTCACAAAGGACAGAGTAATTGGAGGAAATGCATGCAAGTTTATTTAGCATATATACATGAGAACCTTCAGAATGAAGACCCAAAGATACAGGGGAAATTGTAATGTTCATTTGTACATCCAACAAAGTATGGACAGCCATGTAGAAATATGATTGGACAAAAGGGTATGCTCTAATGCTAATAGCCTGAGTGGGGAAACCCAGCAAGGCCTGTCTGTCTAGATTCTTCTTGGACTCTCTGGGCATGCATTCCTTCCTTCTGGGTGTAGGGCGGGACCCTCTCTGCAATGAGGGTCTTAGGACCTACAGTCAAAAAAGGTAGATCAGATAATTTCTTTATGGCCAGTTTTTACAAAGAAAGGCGGGAGAAAATTAAAGTAATATTTCCAGGATTTATGACTGGCTTTGGGGAAAAGAGGTTCTAGTTTCTATGGCCTGCCTAGTTTCTATGGCTAGTGTCAGGGGAGAATGGGACCAAGAGACAGGAAGGCAGGAGAAGGTCAGAGAAAAACTTTTGCTTCTGAGGCTGCTTCTGAGAGTTTCATTGTGGGGTATTATTTTCTAGTCCCAATATTCCTAACTAGTAGTAAGTATTCTTTGAATAAAACAAGGAATTGATCACAAAATTTATTGAACGCCTATTATATTCCAGAAGATTTATATGTACATAGTTAATCTCATAACTTCATGACATACCCATTTTATAATATCTTAATTATTAAATTCTTTTAATACTTATTTTATTAGATTTCTCTGTTTCATTTGGACATGTTGCTCACTTCTAAAAAGTCTTGCTTCCTTTCACTTACGTAAAACCCAGTCCCCTGATTCTCCTTCCAGCTCTGTGGCCATTCTTTTTTTTAAAGACAAAGTCTCCCGCTCTTTCACCCAGGCTGGAATGCAATGGCCTGGTCATAACTTACTGTAACCTGGAATTCCTGGCCTCAAGCAATCCTCCCACCTCAGCCTCCCAAAGTGCTGGGATTACAGATGGGATTACAGATGCGGCCATTCTTTTTTCTCATTGTTTTAGGCTTTTGTTTGTCCATTATACTTTAATGCTCATGTTTCACACAGAGTCTTCTAAAACTTGAAACTTCAGCTTTTTTGTTTTTTGTTTTAGTTTTCTGATACTCATGTAAATTTTTTTTAATTCAAAACAGGGTTATACAAACTGCATTACATTCAAAGTCATTTTCCTTTAACCAATAAACACTTTTATTACCAAAAATTACAAAGCAGTATAAATGTGTCTTTCAAAATATAATTACAGGATTTATTTTAAAATATAATTCATAATATCCTTTCAATAGTATGGTCCTATAAAGGGATACAAATTTAAAGTTCCATGGTAAATGTCTTATTTTCTCAATTTTGTCAGTTCTTATTACTTGCATGCATATATCCTTTCTGCTCATATCCCATAGGTCACATCTATATTCAAGGAAGGAAGAAAATGTAGCATCTAGCCATGGGCTCAGTCAAACCTTGACAGGGTGGGATTGTTTTATTATTAAAAGAAAGAAGAGAAGAATAGATACTAGGGAACAAAAGCTATCTCTACTGCAGCTTATAGTAGGCAGATCTCTTCCACCACCCTCCAGGAGGTTCTTAGGAAAAGATAAATTATATAAAAGAGTTAGAGGAGGTAATCTGATTGGATGGCAGAGATAAGAAACTTGTCTTGAAGCTGTGTGTGCATAGCACTTACTTAAAAGTGTGAGAGAAAAAAACACTAGTAGGCAAAACTATAGAGACAGTAAAAGATCAGTAGTTGCAAGAGTTTGGGGGAAGGGAGGCAAAGAGGGAAGAGATGAATACATGGAGAATAGGGCATTTTTTAGGACAGTGAAACTATGATATATGATACTGAAATAGTGGATATATGACATTATGCATTTGTCAGAACTCATATTGCAAAGACAAGGAACAAGGCTAGAATCTGGTAACCCAGAAGGATATGCTATAGACATGCAGTTTTTCTACATCCCCAAAAGTAAAAGAACATAGGGCCCTCTCAACTAATTCCAATGGGGGTAAAAAAAAGCACCTGGATAATAATAGACCACTGCCAGAATGATCCTTGCAGAACATTGGGTTCCCCTGATAAATTTAAAATACAGTGTATAGTTCCCAACTATCCTCAAACGCTTGAAAGATTAAAAAGTCCAACCATGAAGGTTGCACACCACAAGGCGTGGTGGCTCACTCCTGTAATCCCAGCACTTTTGGAGGCCCAGGCAGGTGGATCACTTGAGGCCAGGAGTTCGAGACCAGCCTGGCCAATATTGTGAAACCCCCATCTCTACTAAAAATACAAAAATTATTTGGGCGTGGTGGTGCATGCCTATAATCCCAGCTACTTGGGAGGCTGAGACATGAGAATCGCTTAAACGTGGGGATGGTGGCAGAGAGTAGGGTAGGGGTGGGGGCAGAGGTTGCAGTGAGCCAAGATGGCACCACTGCACTCCAGCTTGGGCAACAAAGCAAGACTCCGTCTCCAAAAAAAAAAGAAGGAAAAACTGGAGACAAAGCAAATACCAAAATTCACTACATGAAATACTCCAACTTATTCCGACTCTTACTCAGATTGCTCAAATTGATCATTTCTGGAAATGTGTTCTAACCTTCATAGTACAAACTAGACTCTCAAGAATAAGATCCTAAAAACTCAAGCACAGGCAGAAGCTATAATCCCATTACTATCCTTTTTTTTTTTTTTTTTGAGACGGAGTCTCGCTCTGTCGCCCAGGCTGGGGTGCAGTGGCATGATCTCGGCTCACTGCAACCTTCTTCGCCTCCAGGGTTCAAGCAATTCTCTGGCCTCAGCCCCCTGAGTAGCTGGGATTATAGGCGCGTGCCACCACACCTGGCTAATTATTGTATTTTTAGTAGAGACGGGGTTTCACCATGTCAGTCAGGCTGGTCTTGAACTCCTGACCTCATGATCTGCCTGCCTCGGCCTCCCAAAGTGCTGGGATTACAGGCGTGAGCCACTGCGCTAGCCTCATTGCCACGCATTCTTAGCTATAGGACATCACTGCTGTAATTCTACGTTATCTTTATCCTTTGCTAACATCAAAACCTTTACAAATAATTCTCAGTAACCTTGGGACTTTAAATGTTTTATTTTATTTTATTTTATTTTATTTTATTTTATTTTATTTTATTTTTTTGACATGGAGTCTCGCTCTGTCACCCAGGCTGGACTGCAGTGACACCATCTGGGCTCACTGCAACCTCTGTCTCCCAGGTTCCAGTGATTCTCATGCCTCAGCCTCCCGAGTAGCTGGAATTACAGGTGCACGCCACCATGCCCAGCTAATTTTTTTTATTTTTAGCAGAGAGGGGGTTTCACCATGTTGAACAGGCTGATCTTGAACTCCTGACCTCAAGAGATCCAACCGCCTTGGCCTCCCAAAGTGCTGGGGTTATAGGCGTGAGCCACCACACCTGGCCTTTTTAATGTTTCTAAGGCAGCACAGATAATTAAATAACTATAGATTGTCATTAAAATATGACAATTCTCCATTGCTGTTTCCATACAAATATTTGAATCCAAAGTCTCAAGTCACAGTCTCCAATTTTATATACTGTAATTATATGTATACTATTAAAAATCAAATAAGGCCGGGCGCAGTGGCTCACGCCTGTAATCCCAGCACTTTGGGAGGCCGAGTAGGGTGGATCACAAGGTCAGGAGATCGAGACCGTCCTGGCTAACATGGTGAAACCCCGTCTCTACTAAAAATACAAAAAATTAGCCAGGCATGGTGGCGGGCCCCTGTAGTCCCAGCTACTCGGGAGGCTGAGGCAGAAGAATGGCATGAACCCGGGAGGCGGAGCATGCCGTGAGCCAAGATCGTGCCACTGTACTCCAGCCTGGGCAACAGAGCGAGACTCTGTCTCAAAAAAAAAAAAAAATCAAATAAAACGTATAATTTTCAAACATGTTTAATTACATAAAAATAACCAAATTCAGAAACAAAAATGTTTCTAAATTAGAATCATCAACTAAGTCAAGCTCTAAGCTAAGGAATGTGATCAATATAGAATATTAGTAGTATACAATTTTTATTTTCATATTGATCACAAAATGTATATCTAGTAGAATACAATTTTTATTTTCATATTGATCACAAAATGTATATCTAGTAGAATACAATTTTTATTTTCATATTGATCACAAAATGTATATCTACTCCTAGATATTTACTCAAGAGAAATAAATATATATATCCACAAAAATACTTGTATGTGATTATTCATAGAAGCATTATTCATAAGAGCCAAAGCTGAAAGCAATCTGAACGTCCTTCCAGATGAATGGGAAGCAAATTGTGGTACAGTATGTTCATACAATGGAAGACTACTCAGCAGTAAGAAGAAACTAATTACTGCTAAATACAACCATGAATTAATCTCAAAACATCATGCTGAGCAAAGAAGCCAGACATATACATACTGTATGATACCATTTTCTAGAACTGGCAAAGCTAATCTAGAGTGGCTAATCTAGAATAAATGAGTAGTTGCTAAGGGCTGAGGATTGGAGACAGGATTAACTACACAGGGTATGAGGTAACATTTTGGGATAATGAAAATATTTTGATTGTGGCCATGGTTACATGTTGTCTTAGTCTATTCGGGCTGCTATAACAAAATACCATAAACTGGGTGACTTATAAACAGCAGAAATGTATGTCTCACAGATATGAAAGCTGGAAAGTCCAAGATCAGGGCACTAGCAGACTTGGTGTCTAGTGAGGACCTGGTTCTGAGTTTGTTGAAAAGCCCTGTCTCCTAGTACCATCACCTTGGGGATTAAGATCTCATTTTGGGGAAAGACATTCAGACCATGGTAGCATATGGGGTGTATGCATTTATCAAAATACATTGAACTGTAGACTTAATTTGGGAGCATTTTATTGTATATAAATTATACCTCAAAAATTATTAAAAATATAAAAATAAAACAAAACCCCAAAAACATATATGTACTTCATATGTATTAAAGGCAACAATAAAGTGTAAGGGAGAGCTTGAATCACCCTGCTGTTACTGTTATCAGTTCTCTCAACTTCACTGTGATATAGACCCTTTTTTTTGGCAGTATCATATCACTATTTTAAATTAATAGACTTTACTTTGTAGAAAATGTTTATGTTTCCAGAAAATTGAGCAGATATTATGGATAATTACTATCTATCTATCTCTCTATCTGCAACCGACTCATAGTTTTACCTTTTATTAACGTCTTGCATTAGTGTGGTACATTTGTTACAATTGAGCTAAGTTGTAGGTTATTGGTAAATATGTAAATTATATCCTGTCTGGTAGTGATTTGAATTGGCTGCCCCACCCCTCCAGTGGAAAAACCAGTTCTATCCCATTTTGCCTGGTTCATATGAGTAAAATGAATTTTTAAACATGTTCATTGGTATATCTGTATGAAAGTCATGATTTCACCCTTTTCTGAAATTATCTTTTAATAATGGCCTGGCAATTTACACCCCTGTGGCTTTTCAGTCCTAATCCTCACTGAAGTGTCCAGGACCACTGAAGGGAAGGGCAGTCCAGGGTCTTTGTAGGCACAGGCGTGGGAAAATGAGCCAAATCTTGACCAAAGGGACCTTGAATGAAGAATGGTGAAAGATGGTGAAAGGCTCAAGAAGAAGTAAATGATAAAGTAGATCAATAGCAAACTGTGATAGAAGAATGTATAACACATTTGGACAATGCAGAAAAGAAGAGTCCAACAGGATATTTGCAGCACGCTGTATCCATAATTCACTGATTTGGAAAGCAGTTGGTGGAAAATAATCTAGACAGTAAAAGAACTACAGAATCTCATAAATTCTTCAGAAGTTTGGTTCAAACACACTGTGCATTCTGGGCCCCAGGATAGACTCCCTGGTACCATGCATCAAGATATTCTTTCGTACTGGACTTTGCACTCACCATCCAGCAAAGAAAATACCACAGGGTTAATGAGATAAGATCAATGCACATGCTCCAGGGTCCATCTTTTGTTAGTAAGGGCTTGAATGTCCTTGTTTAATAATGATCTGTTTCCTTAAATGTTGTGTGGCTATGTTTACTAATCAGGAATTAATTATGATTATAGGATTCAACTGCATGTTGATATTAGTGTGTTATAATGATATTTTGCATAAAGACAAGTTTAGTCTGCAAACCTGGGAGCCTCTGGGCAGATTTAATTCAGGAAGCTGCTCTAGATTCAGATCAAATCAGGAGTTGCCTCCTGAGGCAATAACAATAATATGCACTTGCCCAGCCCCTTCATCTGCATTATCTCATTAGTGAGACAAGAGACATACTGTGGAAAGGGCACCAATTTGAAGTCAAGAAGTCATAGGGCAAGCTTTAGTCCTGTCGCTTCCATGGTATGTAAATGTTGGGCAGTCACTTACTTTCTCTGAACCTCAGGATCTATATTTCTATGAAGTGGAATCGGTAATAATCCCAGCTTTGCAGGGCTGTGGAAACCAAAATATATACATTTTTTAATTTAAGGGATTGATACCTAGAGACAATGAAATCATACCAACAATCGTTACTGTGATTGTGTAATCTGTATTTTCTAACAAGGAAAGATGACCAGGTACAAAACAGAGTGTTAAAGAATTACCTCATTGATTGTCTTGTAGAAAAACAGTAAAAGGTTATAATCAGAAATTAATCATGGTGACCTCTAGGTAGGAAGATCTTGGGTGATTTTTTTTTTTTTTTTTTTTTTAAGACAGAGTCTCGCTCTGTTGCCCAGGCTACAGTGCAGTGGAAGGATCTTAACTCACTGCAACCTCCACCTCCCAGGTTCAGGCAATTCTCATCCCTCAGTCTCCCAAGCAGCTGGGATTAGAGGTGCCCACCAACATGCCTGGCTAATTTTATGTATTTTTAATAGAGATGGGGTTTTACCATGTTGGCCAGGCTGGTCTCGAACTTCTAACTTCAGGTGATCATGGGTGATTTTTTTTTTTTCTTCATATGTTTTTGGTATTTGAGTTAAGCAAAATAATGTATTATCACTGATATGATTTTATAATAAAAATTAAAATTAAAAATAAAGAAATAAAATACTAAAAATAAAAATTTTATAATAAAAATGTTAACTTCAATTTAAAAATTAAAATTTATATCTGTGGTTTTAAATGACAACAAATTATTTATAATCTTTACTATGTTTGGACAGAAAGAAAGGATTGTCATCTGGGTATAAATTGTATCCTATTGTTCTGTAAAGGGAGTAACAATGGAGGAAAAGAGGTCAACTTCAAAGGGAAAAAAGCCAAAATGTAATGCCAGCAAAGGATGATAATGGGACATTCCAGATGGGCAGTGTCTACCTTCTGCAGTCCAGAGTTGGCCATGGAGAATGCCCCTTTGTGGTTCAGTCTTCCTCATATGAGGGGCTGATCGTATAAATATGAAGGGATAGATAGTAGAAAGATGGAAAGAAACATCCTTCTATATATATATACAAAGCAGGCATACAATGAGACGTGAATAACGACAGGGAAGAAAGAGGATACCATGAAAACTGTCCAATCCCATTAAAATTACATGCTGTCAGAATGCTGAATTTGGAGTGAGGCTGCCCACAGTTAGGAGTATTGCTACATTTTTTATGTAATGTTTAACTGTTTAATACTATGATGGTTTTAATTCTTTATGCTGTTTGATGGGTGTGATAAAGAGGAGGTAACATGCATCACCTCACAGACTTATCTCTGATATTGGTTCTTAATATACATAATACACATGCTGTGTGTAAAAGTCAGATGTTCAGTCTGGTAAATGGGGAAATGCTGGGATTTCACTTGGCTAATTGGTCATAAGGTCCTCATGAAGATGGTCCAGAGAGTGATGTAACAGCCAATAGGTGAAGTATAGCACTTGAAAAGACACAAATAAAGAACTGCAATGCCTTCCCAGATCCTTATGAATTCCATTAGTCTCATTAAGGCCATTCAGACTGAGGTTATCGGCTTGTGTAATGCTCGGCCTAGAGATTCCACAAATCTGAAGCTGCCTAAGGCCCCAGGCGGGAAGACTGGGGCATAGGCAGCTGGACAGTGCTAGAGGACATCTGCCTGGAATAAGGGCAACAGTCAAGATGTTATGAAAACACTTTGCCTGTGTGCTGCACCCATGTCACATCCCTGTATCCTTTCAATAAATGCCTTTGCTAAATGGAATGTGGGTATCTCATTTCTTCAGCTTTCAGAAATATAATTAAAACAATCTGGATTGGAATATCCAAAAGGAGATATCCAATAGACAGTTGTTTAGTGTATAAGTCCAGAGCTCATGGAAGAGGTCAAGCTGAAAATATATACAGTGAAGTTATCTCCTGTGCTTAGTTAACTTATATTAACTCTACTATATGCATTTGGCAAAAAACAAAAACATATTTTTCTTATAACATGGCCGCTAAATGCAAGCCAACAACTTCATCTGGCGTTTAACTAAAGAAACAACCTTCTGTTCCAATAGCGGAGGAAAACTGGCTGTGTAGGATTTCTTGATTGATAGTATATACATTCAAAATCGTGTATACAGTATTTTAGAGGAAATTTTAAAGATTTTCAAAGATAATTTTAACTCGGTTTTATTTTTGCCTTTCACGCTGACTTTAGATTCTAACCCCCTCAGAACAAGTCAGTCCCTGTATTTGGGTGTCATTGATTTACAGGTGATTGCAGTTCTGGTCACAGAAGAGGCTATTCTGGGGAGAGTACATAGAGTGAGAGAAGAAGAGACCTGGGGGTGAAATCTTAGGGAACATCAATATTTGAAAAGATGCTCAAATTCTAAAGATTCTTTTAGAATTAGGAGGGGCATGAGGAAAGACTAGTATCATAAGAAACCAAGAAGAGAATTTTCCCGAGAGTGGTTAACTGTCAAAAATAAAGCAAAGAAAATCAAGGAAGATAAGTGCTAAGAAGCAACCATTGGCTTTGGAAATTAAGAAGACACTGACGACCTTAGCAAAAGCAGTTTGGGTGTTATGATGGCGGATGCCTCTCTAAAAGAATAAGTAGCCCTGGCACAGTGGCTCACACCTGTAATCCCAGGGCTTTGGGGGGTCAAGGTGGGCAGATCACGAGGTAAGGAGTTCGAGACCATCCTGGCCAATATGGTGAAACCCCGTCTCTACTTAAAATACAAAAATTTGCCGGGTGTGGTGGCAGGTGCCTGTAATCCCAACTACTCGGGAGGCTGAGGCAGGAGAATAGCTTGAACCTGGCAGGTGGAGGTTGCAGTGAGCCAAGATCGCGCCACTGCACTCCAGCCTGGCTGACAGAGCAAGACTCCATCTCAAAAAATAAAATAAAATAAAAACAACAAAATGTTCAGAGTGGCAAGGAAGTGGAGACTTCAAGTTTTCTATGAAGAGAAGGAAAAAGGGTAGCAGGTAGGGAAGAATAAGAGCCAAGGAGTGTTGGGGTGGGGGGTACTTTTGTATTTCACATTTTAAATGGGTGTGACTTTGATCCAGTTTGTAGGCCAAGCACAAGAACCAGAAGAAAAGAGGAGATAATTGAGACAACACAGCCCCTGAAGAGACACAGGGTGAGTCCCAAGTACTTAGTTGTATTAACTGGAAGAAGGGCAAAGGAGAAAGATGTACTGGAAATAGATGCTTTGTGTTTGAGAGGAAAGAAATGCCAGAGAGAAAGGATTGAGGAAACTTCATTTCTGATAGCTTCCACTTTCTCTGTAACATGGGAAGTAAGCACAGCCATTTTCCTTTTTTTTTTTTTTTTTTTTTTTGAGACTGAGTCTTACTCTGTCGCCCAGGCTGGAGTGCAGTGGCGCAGTCTCGGCTCACTGCAACTTCTGCCTCCCAGGTTCAAGCAGTTCTCCTGCCTCAGCCTCCCAAGTAGCTGGGACTACCGGGGCCCGCCATCACGCCTGGCTAATTTTTTTGTATTTTAGTAGAGATGGGGTTTCATCTTGTTGCCCAGGCTGGTCGCGAACTCCTGAGGTCAGGCAATCCGCCCGCCTTGGCCTCCGAAAGTGCTGGGATTACAGGCGTGAGCCACCGCGCCTGGCCAAGCACAGCCATTTTCTAAAAGTGGGGAAGAGGGTGATGGGTGCACCAAAATGTCAGAAATCCACTACGGAATTTATCCTTGTAACCAAACACCACCTGTTCTTCCAAAACCTATTGAAATTAAAAAAATAAAATAAAAGTGAGGAGAGGGGCTTAGAAAACAAGTAAACTTTTAAAATAGATTTGAAAGAGGAGAAGCTGAGAACAGATATATAGGATTTGAGAGTATAGCTAAGACTGGATTCCTCTGTTTGTGGAGGTCCTAATTCCTAAATTTTATGTGACTGTTTTTCCCAGTACCACTCATTCTGGTTGGGAGAAAGAGTATAAAAGGGAGATGAGGCTGGGCGTGGTGGCTCACGCCTGTAATCCCAGCGCTTTGGGAGGCCGAAGTGGGCAGATTGCCTGAGCTCAGGAGTTTGAGACCAGCTTGACCAAAATGGTGAAACCCCGTCTATACTAAAAATATATAAATTAGCTGGGCATTGTGGCAGGCGCCTGTAATCCCAGCTACTTGGGAGGCTGAGGCAGGAGAATCCTTTGAACTCGGGAGGCAGAGTTTGCAGTGAGCCAAGATCGCGCCACTGCACTCCAGCCTGGCGACAGAGTGAGACTCCATCTCAAAAAAAAAGAAAAGAAAAAAGAAATAGAGAGTGATAACTAGCAGAATAGGAGGACATGTTTGGAGAGGAGGAGACTGATGTTGAAATTACAGATATATCAGTTTGTTCCAGTTGGGCACAAAGCTCAGAGATCAATCCAAGCTGAGTTGCCGATATAGAGAGGCAGTAAAGGCCCTAACCATTGAATAGGCACAGAACTATGAGAGTAAAGTAGTGGAAGGGTCATTCATGGAGGCCTTAGGGTGAGGTTGAAAGACAATGAGCCAAGAACCAAAAAGTCTAAATGAATGTAGAGGATTAAGAAAAAGATGGTGATGAGGAAGGTAGAAAATAATACCAAGGGCGACATGCAGTGGCTCACACCTGTAATCCCAGCACTTTGGAACCCTGAGTTTCACTCGCGTCCATGTGAAGAGACCACCAAACAGGCTTTGTGTGAGCAATAAAGCTGTTTATTTCACCTGAGTGCAGGTGGGCTGAGTCCGAAAAGAGACTCAGCAAAGGGAGATAGGGGTGGGGCCGTTTTATAGGATTTGGGTAGGTAAAGGAAAATTACAGTCAAAGGGGGGTTGTTCTCTGGTGGGCAGAGCGGGGGTCACAAGGTGCTCAGTAGGGGAGCTTTTGAGCCGGGATGAGCCAGGAGAAGGAATTTCACAAGACAGTGTCATCAGTTAAGGCAGGAACAGGACATTTTCACTTCTTTTGTGGTGGAATGTCATCAGTTAAGGCAGGAACCAGCCATCTGGATGTGTACGTGCAGGTCACGGGGGATATGATGGCTTAGCTTGGGCTCAGAGGCCTGACATTCCTGTCTTCTTATATTAATAAGAAAAATAAAACAAAATAGTGGTAAAGTGTTGGGATGGTGAAAATTTTTGGGGGTGGTATGGAGAGATAATGGGCGATGTTTCTCAGGGCTGCTTCGAGCAGGATTAGGGGCGGCGTGGGAACCTAGAGTGGGAGAGATTAAGCTGAAGGAAGATTTTGTGGTAAGATGTGATATTGTGGGACTGTTAGAAGAAACATTTGTCATTTAGAATTATGGGTGATGGCCTGGATACGGTTTTGTATGAATTGAAAAACTAAACGGAATAAGAGAAGGAGAAAAACAGGTATTAAAGGTCTAAGAATTGGGAGGACCTGGGACATCTAATTAGAGTGCCTAAGGAGATTCAACATAGTCCTGTCAGCAAAGATTATTTACTTACTTCAAGAGTTAAGAGTGGCAGTTTGGGGATAGCACCAGGAGATATCAGCTGTGATGGCTTGGAGAAACAGTGTAAACCGGCAGTGTAAACAAGAGCAGGGCATGTATGAGTAGTTGAAAACGGTGAATAGGAGTATGACTAGACAGAAGATAGTAAGGATGACAAGTTTTTTTGGGGCACAGTCTAAGTTAGTCTGGTGTCTGGAATGAGACTGGGGCCTAATAAAAAGGAGCATCTATACAGGAGCTCAAATGGGCTGTACACTGTAGCATTCTGAGGACAGGTCTGACTCTGAGAAGGGAAAGTGGTAAAAGTATTGTCCAGTCCTTTTTAAGTTGGTGGCTAAGCTTGGTGAGGTGTGTTTTTAAAAGACCTTTAGTCCGTTCTACTTTTCCTGAAGACGGAGGACCATAAGGGATATAAAGGTTTCACTGAATACTAAGAGCCTGAAAAGCTGCTTGGCTGATTTGACTAATAAAGGCTGGTCTGTTATCAGACTCTATAGAGGTGGGAAGGCTAAACTGAGGAATTATGTCAGACAGAAGGGAAGAAATGACTGCGGTGGCCTTCTCAGACCCTGTAGGAAAGGACTGTACCTATCCAGTGAAAGTGTCTACCTAGAGTAAGAGGTATTTTAGTTATCTGACTTGGGGCATGTTGAGTAAAGCTAATTTGCCAGTCCTGGGTGGGGGCAAATCCTCAAGCTTGACATGTAGGGAAGGGAGGGGGCCTGAATAATCCCTGAGGAGTAGTAGAATAGCAGATGGAACACTGAGAAGTTATTTCCTTAAGGATAGATTTCCACGATGGAAAGAAAATGAGAGGTTCTAAGAGGTGGGCTAGTGGCTTGGACTATAGCGTAGCCTGCCTTTGCTGGTGTGTGGCGATTAGCCCTGGTGGAACTGCCATCAATAAATCAAGCATGATCAGGGTGAGGAACAGGAAAGAAGGAAATATGGGGAAATGGGGTGAATGTCAGGTGGATCAGAGAGATACAGTCATAGGGGTCAGGTGTGGTATCAGAGAGATACAGTCATAGGGGTCAGGTGTGGTATCAGGAATAATGTGGGAGGCCGGATTGAAGTCCAGGCCAGGAACAATGGTAATTGTGGGACTTAACGAAGAGTGAGTTCAGCTGAAGGAGCCAGGGAGCAGAAAGTATATGCATCAGGTATGAGGAAGAAAATAGATTTTGGAAGTTATGAGAAATATAGAGAGTAAGTTGAGCATAGTTTGTGATTTTGAGGGCCTCTGAAAGTATTAGGGCAGCAGCAGCCGCTGCTCGGAGACATGGTGGCCAACCTAAAACAGTAAGGTCAAGTTGTTTGGACAAAAAGGCTACAGGACGCGATCCTGGTCCTTGTATAAGAATTCTGACTGTACAGCCCTGCACTTTGGCTGTGTGTAATGAAAAGGGTTGGGATGAATCAGGGAGAGCTAGAGTGGGGGCAGTCTCTAAAGCTGTCTTCAAGGAACGGAAAGAGGAGTGGGGAAAGTATTTAGGATCTACGGGGTCAGCTAGGTTTCCTTTTGTGAGTTTATATAATGGTTTTGTTAGGATGGTGAAACCAGGTATCCAAAGGCGAAAGTATCTAACTATGCCTAGGAAGGAAAGCAGTTGTTGTTTTGTAGAAGGGGTTGGGGTTTGAGAGATCAGTCGGACAAGATCGACAGGGAGAGCACGTGTGTTTTTATGAAGAATTATGCCGAGGTAGGTAACGGATGGAGAAGAAATTTGAGCTTTGGAGGGGGATACTTGAGAAAGAACTTGGCTGAAGTAATGAGGGCTGTCCTTGAAATCTTGTGGCAGCACAGCCCAGGTAAGCTGCTGAGCCTGATGGGTGTCAGGGTCAGTCCAAGTGAAAGTGAAGAGAGGCTGGGATGACAGGTGCAAAGGAATAGTAAAGAAAGCATGTTTGAGATCCAGAACAGAATAATGGATTGTGGAGGGAGGTATTGAGGATAGGAGAGTATGTGGGTTTGGCACCATGGGGTGGATAGGCAAAACAATTTGGTTGATAAGGTGCAGATCCTAAACTAACCTGCCAGTCTTGTCTGGTTTTAGGACAGGTAAAATGGGGGAATTGTAAGGAGAGTTTATAGGCTTTAAAAGGCCATGCTGTAGCAGGCGAGTGGTAACAGGCTTTAATCCTTTCAAAGCATGCTGTGGGATGGGATATTGGCATTGAGCAGGGTAAGGGTGATTAGGTTTTAATGAGATGGTAAGGGGTGCATGATCGGTCACCAAGGAGGGAGTAGAGGTTTCTTATACTTGTGGGTTAAGGTGGGGGAATACAAGAGGAGGACGCAAAGGAGGCTTTGGATTGGGAAGAAGGGCAGCAATGAGATGTAGCTGTAATCCAGGAATAGTCAGGGAAGCAGATAATTTAGTTAAAGTGTCTCGGCCTGATAAGGGAATGGGGCAGGTGGGGATAACTAAAAAGGAGTACTTATAATAGTATATGTAAGTTGGCACCAGAGTTGGGGAGTTTTAAGAGGTTTAGAAGCCTGGCCGTCAATACGCACAACAGTTACGGAAGCAAAGGAAACAGGCCCTTGAAAATAAGGTAATGTGGAGTGAGTAGCCTCCGCATTGATTAAGAAGGGGACGGACTTACCCTCCACTGTGAGAGTTACCCGAAGCTCGGCGTGCGTGATGGTCTAGAGGGCTTCCGAGGTGATCGGGCAGCATCAGTCTTCAGCCGCTAAGCCAAGAAGATCTGGGAAGGAGTCAGAGAGCTTTGGGCCAGAGTTCCAGGGGCTCTGGGAGTGGCTGCCAGGTAAGTTGGACAGTCTGATTTCCAGTGGGGTCCCGCACAGATGGGACGTGGCTTAGGAGGAATCCTGGGCTGCAGGCATTCCTTGGCCTGGTGGCCAGATTTCTGGCACTTGTAGCAAGCTCCTGGGGGAGGAGGTTCTGGAGGAACGCCTGGCTGCTGCGGTTCAGGCGTTTGGAAGTTCTTGTGTGCTGGAGATGTGGCTGGGGTTTGTCTCACAGTGGAGGCAAGGAATTGCAACTTTTTTCTATTATTGTACACCTTGAAGGCAAGGTTAATTAAATCCTGTTGTGGGGTTTGAGGGCCGGAATTTAATTTTTGGAGTTTTATTTAATGTCAGGAGCAGATTGGGTAATAAAATGTATTTTCAGAATAAGACGACCTTTTGACCTTTTAGGGTCTAGGGCTGTAAAGCGTCTCAGGGTTGCTGTCGAACGAGCCATGAACTGGGCTGGGTTTTTTATATTTGATGAAAAAGAGTCTAAACGCTAACTGATTTGGGAGAGGTCGGATAAAGAAAAAGGAGCATTAACCTTGACTATGCCTTTAGCTCCAGCCACCTTTTTAAGAGGAAATTGCTGGGCAGGTGGGGGAGGGCTAGTCACGGAACGAAACTGTAGGCCGGACCGGATGTGAGGAGGGGAGGTGATAAAAGGATTATAGAGTGTGGGAGCAGAGGCTGAGGAAGAATTGAGACCTAGCTCGGCCTGGTGAGGAGGGGAGAGGTCAGATAGGAAGATTAGAAAGACTCAGCAACGCTTGGGGTTGGGGCTGAGGGGACAGGTGAGAGGGAAAGAAGGAAGATTTTGGATGAGTTGCAGTGGGAACAGAGACTAGAGAGGGACCCATGTGTAAAAGAATGCCTGGACGTCAGGCACCTCAGACCATTTGCCCATTTTACGACAAGAATTATTTAGATCTTGTAGGATGGAAAAATTGAAAGTGCCGTTTTCCGGCTATTTGGAACTACTGTCGAGTTTGTATTGGGGTCAAGCAGTATTGAAGAAGAAAATAAGACGCTTAGATTTTAGGTCAGGTGAGAGTTGAAGAAGTTTTAAGTTCTTAAGAACACAGGCTAAGGGAGAAGAAGGAGGAATGGAAGGTGGAAGCTTGCCCATAGTGAAGGAGGCAAGCCCAGAGAAAAGAGTAGAGACACGGAGAAGGGGTGGGAGGGTTCTTGCCCTCCAGAAAAGCAGAGAAGGGGTCGGGGCGCAGAGATACGAGGTTGGGGTGGGGAAATAAGGGATCGGGGTGCAGAGATATAAGAGGTTGGGGTGTGGAAATAAGGGATCGGAGCGCAGAGATATAAGAGGTTGTGGCGTGGAAATAAGGGATTGGGGTGCAGAGATATAAGAGGTCGGGGAGTGGAAATAAGGGATTGGGGCACACAGATACGAGGTTGGAGTACTTGCCCCTTCCCCAGAAAAGCGGGACTTGCCGCTAAGGGTGAAGGAGAAGGGGTTGGGGGTTTCTTGTCCCCCAGAAAGGCGGAGAAGGGGTAGAGACACGGAGAGAAGGGGTTGGAGTACTTGCCCCTCCCCCAGAAAAGCGGGACTTGCCGCTAAGGGTGAAGGACCAAGGCAGGCATCCCTGCGTGGTCTGACACCTCTGAAACCTGGGTGAATAATCAGAGAGGCGTCCCTGCCTTCCCGAGTCCGTGACCAGCGCTGGGGTTTTGGGTCCACGGATAAAACATGTCTCCTTTGTCTCTACTAGAAAATGAAAGGAATTGAAATTAAGAGAAGGGAGAGATTGAAGTGTGGCACCAAGATTGAAAGGAGAAAGAGGTTGAGAGATAGGGAGATTGGAGAAGAGAGTAAAAAGAGGCCGCTTACCGGATTTGAAATTGGTGAGATGTTTCTTGGGCTGGTCCATCTGAGGACTTGAGGTCGTAGGTGGACCTTTCTCATGGATCAAAGAACAGGAGGACAGGGGATTGATCTCCCAAGGGAGGTCCCCTGATCCGAGTCATGGCACCAAATTTCACTCACATCCCTGTGAAGAGACCACCAAACAGGCTTTGTGTGAGCAATAAAGCTGTTTATTTCACCTGGGTGCAGGTGGGCTGAGTCCAAAAAGAGTCAGCAAAGGGAGATAGGGGTGGGGCCGTTTTATAGGATTTGGGTAGGTAAAGGAAAATTACAGTCAAAGGGGGGTTGTTCTTTGGTGGGCAGAGTGGGGGTCACAAGGTGCTCAGTAGGGGAGCTTTTGAGCCAGGATGAGCCAGGAGAAGGAATTTCACAAGACAATGTCATCAGTTAAGGCAGGAACCGGCCATCTGGATGTGTACGTGCAGGTCACAGGGGATATGATGGCTTAGCTTGGGCTCAGAGGCCTGACACTGAGGCTGGCGGATCACTTGAGGTCAGGAGATCTAGACCAGTCTGGCCAACATAGCAAAACCCCATCTACTAAAAATACAAAAATTAGCAGGGTGTGGTGGTGGGCACCTGTAATCCCAGCTACCTGGGAGGCTGAGGCAGGAGAATCACTTGAATCTGGGAGGCGGAGGTGGCAGTGAGCTGAGATCATGCCACGGCACTCCAGCCTGGATGACAGAGCAAGACTCCATCTCAAAATAATAATAATAATAATAATAATACCAATGGGTTGGTATAGAGCTCAACAGAAGAAAAATTTTACATAATAGGCAAACAAAATGGTCTGGAATCGGCACATTGGCACTCAGAGAATATCAGCAATACCTCTAGGCTATAAGGAAGGGAGTCAGGCTAGAGTAAACTGGGGATCTCAAGGAGACCTGTTTCAAATAGGTGAGTTCATGTCATACTGGCTCTCTGTGCAAAATGGAAGTGTTAAGCCAATTAATATTCATTCATTTGTTTCAAAAACACATCAAGAATATAACATATGCCAGGCACTGTGCTAAGTGCTAGAGATACAGCAATGAACAAGACAAGCACTGCTCCTGCCTTATTGGAGGTTAAGTCTGTACACAAGACCCTCCACAAACAAGCAGAAAAAAATTTTGAGTCTGAACATGTGATGAGGCTGTTTAGATCTGGTTGTTGGAGGAATGCTAAAGGCTAAATCCACCAAAGCTTTCCCAAGAGTAAAGATATGCATACAATCTGGCAGGCATTGATATTGATAATGTTGATAATGTTGATAAGCCTTCTCAGGTCTTTAAAAAAGTCACTGATAGAGTTGTTTACTAAAAAGCAAACACTAGTATATTGTATCTTTAGGGATTATTTACATTACAACAAGGCACAGAATCTATTGATATGGAAATCAGTTAAGAACGCTTTAATAGCAAAACAACCACAGAACTGTATAATGTTCTTCCAAAACAGAATACCTAAGAACCACATGAAAGTTAAATTTAAATGTTATATGTATGCAAGATGGAAAATTTCCTAGACGCTTTTAGAAACACTATTACAGATTGCTATTCTGAGTACCAAATGATAAGAGCAGTGAAAAGAACTACAGATGAATTATAGGTAGATAATATGTGACAACTGCACGTAAATTACATGTAAGATCATCTTTCTTTTGACACACCAAAAGCTTTACCCAATAAGAGTATTTTCAATTACAATTAGTAAATTTCAGACAGAAACATTCAACTATTTAGATCCACTTTGAAAAAAGTTGTCTTATATCGCCGTGTCTACAATCAGTGTATTAATAAATTTCTATTTTAAAAAGCACAATATACCAGGAAAATAAAATGTAAGCAATGTCAAGTAATCAGAGATAACACTTTCCATGAATAAATGTAACAAAATAAGGTATAAAATTGAAAACAAAAGAAAATCAAAACTTTAAAAAATGGATTATAATGTGCTGTAGAAGATGGGAGAGAATAAGAAGGAAGAAGAAAACATGAAGCAACAAAAACTTATCACAAGATACCGTATTCCTAGAGTACAAGAATGTTCAAGCCTCAAATCCTGAAGCCAACAGTCCCTTTTAGCCTTCTTAGCACATCCTCACAACCAGAGGCTTCAACATAAGCTTTTAGGGCCCAGTAAAGCCTTTGGGAGGCTTGCCACCTTGAATTTCACTGTGGATAAGGCTCAGTGAACAAATACCAGGCTGAAAAACAAGCTGACCTTCCCTTAGGAAGAAGGCTTTGGCTTAGGATAGATTTAAAGATTTCAGTCCTGTGTTTGCTTCCCCAAACTCCACTTGATTGTGCCAGAGGCCCACTACCTTCCTGGTGCTTTGCAAATTTTGTATTGGAACCATTTATCTTAGAGAATATATACCTCCCAGAAAATATTAATATGTCATAAAATAAGTTTTCTTCTGTCTTACATGAAATAAGATCAAGGATCTAGTCCCAGAGAAAACATACTTCAGCAGGGTGTAAATAATGATAGCCATGTAGTCATTCAACAACTGCTTACTCAGTAACTACTAAGTGCAAAGCACTTTGAGCAAAGCAGCATAAAGATAAAATTCTCGGTCACAAGCAATAGAAACTAACTGGCTAATTTTAGCAGAAAAGGAATTTATTGGCAGAATAACAAGTAGCTCATAGAATCAACAGGAAGACTGAAGAACAAGGCTAAAAACAAAAAAAAAAAAGGCAGGAGCCAAGGGCAGTCAGACAGCAGGAACCACAAGGTCACATCCAAGTTTGGTTAGGATGCTGCTTCTGCTGGCCCTGCCACAGGTAAACATACTGCCAGACAATGTGCTGGAACCACTGCCACTGGGAATATATTTTAACCATTCTTTCCCATTTGCGTGATTCATTTTAGAATTAAGTCCCCAGTCTGATTGGCCAAGCCTAGATTTCTTGCTCATGAAATCCAGCTGCTGGGGTTGGGAAGAAGGACTATTTGGCAAATTTGACTTCTGGAGAGAGAGTTAGGGTCCTGCTACCTACCAAGACTCACAAAATGTGGAATTGCTCTCAAAGTAGGAAACAAGTTTGAATGCTCAACGGTCAGAGAAACTTTTTTTTTTTTTTTTGAGACGGAGTTTCGTTCTTGTCGCCCAGGCAGAGTGCTATGCCAGGATCTTGGCTCACTGCAACCTCCCTCTCCCAAGTTCAAATGATTCTCCTGCCTCAGCCTCCCAAGTAGCTGGGACTACAGGCACACGCCACCATGCCCAGCTAATTTTTGTATTTTTAGTAGAGATGGGGTTTCACCATGTCAGCAAGGCTGGTCTCGAACTCCTGACCGTAGGTGATCCACTCGCCTTGGCCTCCCAAAGTGCTGGGATTACAGGCATAAGCCACCGCACCCGGCCTGGCCAGAGAAATTTTAAATGTTCACTTCAATCTGTAGTTTGATCACAAAACACATACTCTTTTCCCTGTACTTCCCCAAAGAGATGCTACGGCAATCGCTGCTGCAAGTTGTCAGCACACCATATTTTGAATTTTATAAAGTCCTCCTAACCTACCCATTCCAGGTTTCCTTACCTTCAGCTGATGAAAGTTATTTACACAATGGGGCAATCCTCCTGCTGTATGAGATTGTAGGCATCTTCAGCCACTGGGCCTGGTTAAATAAGCAGGTATGCCAAGGAATCTCCTAGTTCATACCCTTCCCTGCCTCCATTATATATAGCATTCGTATTTTCCCTTGATAATAAATATCAGTCATCCCAGCCAAGACTGGAATCTCTTTCTGGGCCCATTTGCCCCAGATGAAAAGAGCCAGAATGACCTGGTGGAAACCTAAACTTCTTATTCTAGTACAACCATTTTTGTGTCCTCTGGAAGCTTCACTCATCTTCTAAACCACAAATAGCCAGAGTTGGGAGAACAGAAGCCAATATTATATGAATGGGCATTTGGAGTAATTGTGAGAATCTTCATGCCCATTTTCAATCCTTGTTTACTTGACTCACTTACAGGAAAAACATCATCATATATGGTTGCTGGCTCAGACCATACTGCAGAATCATAATTCAGCCTTACGAGGTCTTTTTCTCCCAGCTGGAGTTGTAACTAAAAATAGGCTGTTCATATTCTATAAGTAAACTTATTGCTTCTGTTGATGAGATGTGTCATAAGACAAAGAATTCCTGTGGGCATTAGCACGCTGCCTTACTTTTTTCCCTCTGTAATGTGAGTTCCTTCGTCAGTAGCAAATGAGAATCTATGACAATTTATGAGACATTCAATAAGCCCACAGTGATGGGTGAGAAGGGGCATGGTGGGCAAGAAAGACATATTCAGGATAGGTATTTATTCGAAATAGGAAATCAATGCTTCTTCCATGATAAAGGTCCCATGTAGTCATCTTGCTAGCAGGCGTTCACCTTCACATTTATGGTGCCACATCAGGGGGTTTAGGATTGAAAGCTACAATTGACAGACGAGACACTCATTATGGCCACATAGGTCAGCCTTAGAGAGAGGAATTCTCACCAAGAGAATTGGGCCAAAGTATCACTTCCATCTCTGCCACAAATAGATTATTTACCTATCACTGAGGTAATTGGGGAAGATTATCTGTTATCCATAGAATAAGTCATCTTACCTACCTTCCGCAGTAGGGATCTTTTGATGACCATTCATGTGGGGCACAAATAATGACATTATCTGAGTCCATTCTAAGAATCCATCCATAACCTTTTTCTCAAGGCTTGTTTCCAATCAGGCAAGTTCAATCTCTCTCTCTCTCTCTTTCTCTCTCTCTCTCAATCTCTCTCTCTGTCTAGTGATGGGGTCTCACTAACTGTATTGCCCAGGCTGGTCTCAAACTCCTGGCCTCAAGTGATCCTCCCGCCTCAGCTTCCCACGTAGCTGGGATTATAGGCCACTGCACCTAGCCAAACAAATTTTTGACCAAAGAACATAATTTGAATCAATGCAGATCTTTACGTCAACTCATGAGTCCATATAGGTAGGCCAAGGGTGGGTCAGAAGTGTTGTGGAAATTTCACCATGGGAATTTAAGCGACCTATTCAATATACTTGCTTATACCTTCACCACTTAATTCTGGAGTGCTGCTGAGGACTTTGTGGCTTGGCATATCAGGTAAACTGTTTTGCAATAAGCAGCTAAAGTCATGTGATCAGCTAGTTTCCTAATGATCAGGCTTTCTGCTCCTATCCGGGTGATTAGCAAGCTAAGAGCCATTTCTCAAAAGGATAATAGTAACTTGGCAACGAGTACATGGCTTTCCTCCAAATCATAGGGGCCTCTGTTGTGATTCTTCTTAGGATTTTCCCACAAGTTCTCTATAGTTGCCCAATCTGCCACAATCACTCGTTTATCTAGAGAGCTTTCCCTTGTTCTGAGCTTCAACAAATCTGGCAGCCTTTCATGGTAAATGGTAAATGGTTTACAAACCATTTGGGGCAGCATAATCTCCAAAATCTAAAGAGATTAACCAAGTATTATGCCTTTTTTCTTGGCGATAGAAGGCAAGGCATGGTGGTTCAGGCAAGGCATGGTGGCTCATGCCTGTAATCCCAGCACTTTGGGAGGCTGAGGTGGGATGATTACTTGAGCCCGGGAGTTCAAGACCAGCCTGGGCAACATAGTGAGACCCCCATCTCTATAAAAATAAATAAATAGAAATAAAAAATATAAGGCATAAGATAAAGCAACTTTTTTTTAAACTGTAGAATGATGTGGCAGATTATATTTTCCAAGATGGCCACAAAAAGATGTTCCATCTCACATACTTTATTTTATTTTATTTTTATTTAATTTAATTTAATTTTATTTTATGTGATACAGGGTCTCACTCTGTCACCCAGGCTGGAGTGCAGTGGTATGATCATGGCTCACTGCAGCCTCAACCTCTCAAGCTCAAGCAATCCTCCCACCTCGCCGTCCCAAGTAGCTGGGACTACAAGTGTGCACTACCATTTCTGGCTAACTTTTTATTTTTTGTAGAGATGGGGTAACACTATGTTGCCCAGGCTAGACTCAAACTCCGGGGCTCAAGTGATCCTCCCACCTCAGCCTCCCAAAGTGCTGGGATTACAGATGTGAACCACTGTGCCCAGCCAGTCACATACACTTTTTAATATGTGATGTTGATTCCCCTACTATTAAGAGGTAGGGTTGATGTTCCCCCTTCCCTTGAATCTGGAATATGGGGGATATGAAGCTATATGACTTCCAAGTCTAGGTCATAATGAAACCACCTTTGCAAATGTTATAATAGTGAGAAAATTATAACAGTGAAAGAGATATAACCTAACCAACTCCATCTTGCCTTTAACCTCTAAGCTGCCATTGTTCATTCCTGGGCACAGGCCAAACTAACTTTGGAAGAAATTTAGTTTATAGTTTAAGTTTGAAACAAAGATGATAATAGCACCTCCCCAAAACAAAGTCCCTCTTTGCCTGGGAACCAGACCACCTTTGTAAACTGATAAATTTTAGTCATAAGATTAGAAATTATGGCTCTGGAGTCATGCAGCCAGGAGCCACAAGATCACTAACCTTCCCAATTACTACTATAGTTAACATTACTATTATAAAACTATGTGTCAGTCTATTCTCACATTGCTATAAAGAAATACCTAATGGCCAGGCTTGGTGGCTCACATCTGTAATCCCAGCACTTTGGGAGGCCAAGGCTGACGGATCATGAGGTCAGGAGTTCGAGCCCAGCCTGGCCAACATGGTGAAACCCCATCTCTACTAAAAATACAAAAATTAGCCAGGCATGGTGGCAGATGCCTGTAATCCCAGCTCCTTGGGAGGCTGAGGCAGGAAAACAGCTTGAACCTGGGAGGCGGAGGTTGCAGTGAGCTGAGATCGTGCCACTGTACTCCAGCCTGGGACTGAGCGAGACTCCTCTCAAAAAAAAAAAAAGAAGAAGAAGAAGAACTACCTGAGACTGGTAATTTATAAAGAAAAGAGGTTTAATTGGCCCACGATTCTGCAGGCTGTAGAGGAAGCATGACTGGGGAGGCCTCAAGAAACTTACAATCGGCCGGGCGCGGTGGCTCACGCCTGTAATCCCAGCACTTTGGGAGGCCGAGGCGGGCGGATCACGAGGTCAGGAGATCGAGACCATCCTGGCTAGCACGGTGAAACCCCGTCTCTACTAAAAATACAAAAAAAAAATTAGCCGGGCGTGGTGGCGGGCGCCTGTAGTCCCAGCTACTCGGGAGGCTGAGGCAGGAGAATGGCGTGAACCCGGGAGGCGGAGCTTGCAGTGAGCCGAGATCGCGCCACTGCACTCCAGCCTGGGCGACAGAGCGAGACTCCGTCTCAAAAAAAAAAAAAAAAAAAAAGAAACTTACAATCATAGTGGAAGACAAAGAGGAAGGAGGCATGTCCTACAGGGCTGGAGCAGGAGGAAGAGAGTGAAGGGGGTGGTGCTGCACACTTTTAAACAACCAGATTTTGTGAAAACTTACTCATTATCATGAGAACAGCATCGGGGAAATTCCCCCCATGATCCAATCACCGCCCACCAGGTTCCTCCTCCAACAATGGGAATTACAATTTGACATGAGATTTGGGCGGGGACACAAATTTAAACCATATCAACCTAAGATTGGTGTTTGAGGTATTTTTTCCACCCTGCATTTCGATGGATCAGCTGACACCACCCAAAGTGGTAAACTAGCTCTTCTGGTCTTGTGGCTCCTACTGAGGGACCACTTAGCATAAGAGGATAGCTCCAACTCCCTATGACTTCATCCGCAGCCCAGCCAATCAGCATTCCCCTTTCTTTAGCCCCCCCCCTCCCCCCCCCGCCTGTCAAACTATCTTTAAAGAACCGTAGCCTTTGAATTTGCAGAGAGGCTGAGTAATAATAAAACTGTAATCTCCTCTTTCTTTATTGCAATTCCCCTGCCTTGATAAATTGCCTCTATCTGAACAGTGAACAAGAAGAACCTGTTGGGAGGTTTCAATAAGAGGCAATATAGTTTCCACCTAGTCCTTTGGGGATGCTCATCTTCGGAACCTAGCCGCCATGCTTGATAAAACCCAGTCTGTGTGGAAAGGTCAGATATAGGTATTCTGATCAAAAAGTAAAGTCTAAAACTCTAAATTCCTGGAAGAAAACATAGGAGAAAATCTTTGTGACTTTGAGTTAGGTAATGATTTCTTAAATTACAACATCAATTGTATGAGCCTTCCTTTTAAAAAAAATATTTTTTTGCCAGTCACAGTGGCTCACACCTGTAATCCCAGCATTTTGGGAGGCCGAGGCAGGCAGATCACTTGAGGTCAGGAGTTTGAGACCTGCCTGGACAACATGGCAAAACCACGTCTCTACTAAAAATACAAAAATTAGCCCGGCATGGTGGCAGGCACCTGTAATCCCAGCTACTCAGGAGGCTGAGGCAGGAGAATCGCTTGAACCCAGGAGGCGGAGGTTGTAGTGAGCCAAGATTATGCCACTGCACTCCAGCCTGGAAGATACAGCGAGACTCTATCTCAAAAAAAAAAAATTTTCAGTTGTACTCCATTAAAATGAAAAGTTTCTGCCAGGTACAGTGGCTCATGTCTGTAATTCCAGCACTTTGAGAGGCCAAGGAGGGCGGATCACCTGAGGTCAGGAGTTCGAAAACAGGCTGGCCAACAAGGCAAAACCCCATCTCTACTAAAACTACAAAAATTAGGCTGGGCGCAGTGGCAGGTGCTACTCAGGAGGCTGAGGCAGCAGAATTGCTTGAACCTGGGAGGCAGAGGTTGCAATGAGCCAAGATCACACTATTGTGCTCCAGCCTGGGCAACAAGAGTGAAACTCTATTAAAAAAAAAGAAAAGAAAAAGGAGAGAAAGAAAGAAAGAGAAGGAAGGAAAGAAAAGTTTCTGCTCTGCCAATATTTGTATATACAGAATAGATAAATAACACAACTTAAAAATAAGACATACAACCCAATATTTTAAATAGGCAAAAGATTTGAACAGACACTTCATCAAAGAAGATAAACAAATGGCCAATAAATATACAGATGTATGCTAAGGAGATTCTCATTCAGAGCATCATTTGGTCTCTGATCATATATATATATATATATATATATATGATCATATGTATATATGTATGTGATATATATGTGTGTATCTACATATGGATATCTAATTGTTTCAGCACCATTCGTTGAAAAAATTATCCTTTCCTCCATTGAATTATCTTGGTAAAAATAATCATATACAGATGTTCCTTGACTTATGTTAGACAAACCCATCATAAGTTGAAAATATCATAAATTGAAAATGCATTTAATGCCAGGCATAGTGGCTCACACCTGTAATCTCAGCAATTTGTGAGGCTGAGCTGAGAGGATCGCTTGAGCCCAAGAGTTCTAGACCAGCCTGAGCAACATAGTAAGACCTCATGTGTACAAGAAAAAAAGAAAATGCATTTAATACACCTAACCTACCAAATATCATAGCTTAGCCTAGCCTACCATTTTGTTTTGTTTTGTTTTGTTTTGTTTTGTTTTTGAGACGGAGTCTCCCTCTGTCGCCCAGGCTGGAGTGCAGTGGTGCTATCTCGGCTCACTGCAAGCGCCGCCTCCTGGGTTCTCGCCATTCTCCTGCCTCAGCCTCCCAAGTAGCTGGAACTACAGGCGCCTGCCACCATGCCCGGCTAATTTTTTGTATTTTTAGTAGAGACAGGGTTTCATCGTGTTAGCCAGGATGGTCTCGATCTCCTGACCTCATGATCTGTCCGCCTCTGCCTCCCAAAGTGCTGGGATTACAGGCGTGAGCCACTGCACCCAGCCAGCCTAGCCTAGCTTAAATGTGCTCAGAACACTTACATTAGACTACAGTTGGACAAAATCATCTAACACAAAACCTGTTTTATAATGAAGTATTGAATGTTTTATATGTAATTTATTAAATACTGTACTAAAAGTGAAAAACAGAATGGTCACATGGGTACTTGAAGCACAGTTTCTACTGAATGCATATCACTTTCATACTATCATAAAGTTAAAAAATTGTGTCTAACCATTGTAAATTGGGGGCTGTCTGAACACATAGTCCTATTTTTGGATTTTCTATTCTGTTCCACTGATCTATATGTCTATCCTTATACAAATATCACACAGTATTGATTGTTGTTGCTTTATAGTAAATCTTGAAATTGTGTAGGTTAAGTACTCCAACGTTCTTCTCCTTATTCTAAATTGTTTTGGCTATTCTAAATCCTTTGAATTTCTATCCATATGTTAGAAACAGTCTGTCAATTTCTACCATAAAAGCCTGCCAAAAATTTTATTGGAAGAGCACTAAATTTACAGATAAATTTAGAGAGAATTTTGACATCTTAAAAATATTGTCTTCCAATCAATGAACATTGTCTATTTCTACATTTTTAAAGTTATTCTTTAATTTCATCTACATTTTCTACTTTGCCATGCAGAAGTCATACACAACTCTTGCTACATTTATATCTAACTATTAATGGTTTTTGATGCTATTTTAAAAACACAATTAATTATCCCACAACTCTTGGAGGTACTGTTCTTTCCCCCACTTCCTCGGTCTTTTTTTTAAATCTTTACACTTCCATTTGGATAATTTCTATTGACATAGCTTCAATATCACTGATTGTTTCCTCTATTCTATCCAGTCTGCAGATAAGCCTATCTAAGGAATTCCTTATCTCTGATAACATGTTTTTCATTACTGGCATTCTTATTTGATTTTTTTTTAAAAAAATTTTCTTCTCTATGCTGAAATTCCCTACCGTTCATTCATTTATTGTACCACTAGATCCTTCAACATATCAGTCATGATTATCTATATATTTCTAACATCTCAGTCACCATTAGGTCTTGTTCTATTGACTGTTTGGTATTCTGAAGATGTATTCTTTTTTTCTTGCTTTTTTGTGTGCATCTCATATTTTTGGTTTGAATATGAAAAAAGAAAAGTAGAAATTAAGGTAAATGATATTTATGTCTCAAATTGGGCAAGTCTCTTTTTCTGTTGAGTTACTGGTGTGCAGAGTTGGTCAACCTAGTTGGGAGTTGAGCTGAGGTGGGGTTTTCTTTTCACAATATTGGGTTTCATTGCACCAGTGGTGGACTACCTTGTGCTCAATGTAAGATTTAGAGTTTTGGAGGGTTTTCCTCAGTACCTGGGCTCCACTGTTAGTGTTCACAGGCCCTGATCTCCTGCACCATAGAAGAGCTCCCTTACTTTCATCCCAGTTGTAGTGCTTTTACTTATTACTCAGTGCTCATACAGGTAGATAGTTTTTTGGTTCTCCTTGATATGATTAGGTTTTGTGTCCCTACCCAAATCTCATCTTGAGTTGTAATCCCCATAATCTCCATGTGTCAAGGGAGAGACCAGGTGGAGGTAACTGAATCATGGGAGTGGTTTCCCATATGCTGTTCTTGTGATAGTGAGTGAGTTCTCATAAGATCTGATGGTTTTTATAAGGGGCTCTTCCCCCTTCACTTGGTACTTCTTCCTGTCACCTTGTAAAGAAAGTGCCTTGCTTCCCCTTCACTTTCTGCCATGATTGTAAGTTTTCTGAGGCTTTCCCAGCCATGTTGAACTGTGAGTCAATTAAACCTCTTTCCTTTATAAATTACCCAGTCTCAGACAGTTCTTTATAGCAGTGTGAAAACGGACTAACACACTTCTTTTCCAGCCTCAGTCTTAGATGGTCTTTGAGAACCTGAGCTTCAGGAGTGTGACTTTCTTTCTTTTTTTTTTTTTTTGAGATGGAGTCTCACTCTGTCGCCCAGGCTGGAGTGCAGTGGCGTGATCTTGGCTTATTGCAAGCTCCGCCTCCCAGGTTCACGCCATTCTCCTGTGTCAGCCTCTGGAGTAGCTGGGACTACAGGCACCCGCCACCACACCCAGCTAATTTTTTTGTATTTTTTTAGTAGAGACAGGGTTTCACCGTGTTAGCCAGGATGGTCTCGATCTCCTGACCTGGTGATCCGCCACCTCGGCCTCCCAAAATGCTGGGATTACAGGCGTGAACCACCACGCCCAGCCCAGGAGTGGGACTTTCTCAGCTTTTCTTCCCTTCCTCCAGCAGTAAACTAGCTCTTCCTTTTCCTCAGAGCAGAGTCAAGAGCAAGAATCTTTTTATTAAAGGGGCAGGTAGTAAATATCTTAGGCTTAAGGGCCATACAGTCTCCAACCCAATTATTTAACTCTTAGGTCATAGCATAATAGCAGCCACAGACAATAAGTAAAAAACAAAAACAAACAAAAAAACAACAAAAAACCAGGTGTGGCTCTGTTCCAATAAAGTTGTATTTACAAAAGCAAGAAAACTAACCTGAGCTGGCCAAATGAACTATAGTTTGCCAACTCGTAGTCAAGAGCATGGAGGAGTTTCCTGCCTCTCGCCCCACATAGCAGGCAAATTCTGCCTTGTATCAGATGGGGGTCTCAGACGTGAGCAAGTGTCCTGCTCCCCAGGGGCAGATTTGTATCAGTGAAAGATGCTGGCCATGAGCAGCCTTCCTACTTTATATCACAGAAGAGTCTAGTGTAATCACCCAATGGGTTCTTCCTGCCCACTGCCCAGAAAAAAAAACAGTTCACTGAGACAATGGTATTGCAACAAAGAAAGAGTTTAATTAACATGGGTCCAGGCCCCATAGGAGAGGCTGTTATCACTCAAATCAGTCTCCCTAAAGTCTTGGGGGTTAGAGTTTTTCAAGGATAGTTTGGTGGGCAGTGGATTAGGGAATAGGTGCTGCTGATTGGTTCTGGATGCAATCACAGGGGTGTGGAAAACAGTCCTCCCCTGGGTGAGGTGAGTCACAAGTTTGGAGGTGGGCAGTCAGTCTGAAAAACATCTCAAAAGACCAATCTTAAGCCAGGCATGGTGGCTTATGCCTGTAATCCCAGCATTTTGGGAGACCAAGGCAGGTGGATCACCTGATCACCTGAGGTCAGGAGTTTGAGACCTGCCTGGCCAACATGGTGAAACCCCATCTGTACTAAAAAATACAAAAATTAGCTGGGTGTGGTGGCATACACCTGTAGTCCCAGCTACTCGGGAGGCTGAGGCACGAGAATCACTTGAACGCAGGAGGCGGAGGTTGCAGTGAGCTGAGATTGCACCACTGCACTCCAGCCTGGGTGACGGAACAAGACTCCCTTTAAAAAAACCCCACCAATCTTAGGTTTTACAGTAGTGATGTTATCAATAGGAGCAATTGAAGGAGTCACAAATCTTGTAACCTCTGGCCACATGACTTCTAAGCAGTAAGGGATTTTAGAAACCATTCCTACATTTTGGCAGAATTCAGGCCCCTCCCATAATCCTAATCCTGTGGCCTTTCATTTGATTTACAAAGGCAATTTCAGCCACCAAACAAGGATGGGGTTGGGGGGCAGTTTTAGGGAGGGACTATTATAATCCTTGCTTCAAAGTTAAACTATAAACTAAATTCTTCCCATGGTTAGCTGGCCTATACCCTATGAATGAGAAAAGACAGCCAGCCTGTGAGGCTAGAAGCAAGATGGGAGTCAGCCATGTTAGACATGTTAGATTTCTCTCACTGTCATGTTTGCAAAGGCGGTTTCACTCCAGCACAAGTAGGGTCCATTCCCGTAACCTGTCAGCAGCTGATCACTGCTTTATAATCATGCTGGGGCCAAAGCATGGATGCATTTCTCCTGGTACCCTTACTGCATCCTCAAACATTGGCAGTGCTTACATACCTGTGCTTCTCAAGGGGACTCTTTCACATCTGTTTGCTTGTGCTTTCCTCATCCAGTCTTTATTGTGGGCATCCAGAGTAGACTCATAGAAAGTGGCTGGCCTTATAGGCCAGCCGTGGTGGCTCACACCTGTAATCCTAGCACTTTGGGAGGTGGAGGCAGGTGGATCAGGAGTTCAAGACCAGCCTGGCCAACATGGTGAAACCCCATCTCTACTAAAAAAAATACAAAAATTAGCCAGCTGTGGTGGTACATGCCTGTAGTCCCAGCTACTCGGGGGGTTAAGGCAGAAGAATTGCTTGAACCCAGGAGGCAGAGGTTGCAGTGAGCCAAGATTGCACCACTGCACTTTAGCCTGGGCGACAGAGTGAGGTTCCGCCTCAAAAAAAAAAAAAAAAAAAGAAACTGGCTGGCCAGGAGTTGCAGATTCCTCTCATGTCTGGAGCATCCAGATATTCTTAACTTGTCCTTTAATAATTTGTTAAAATTTAACTTGTTTTCTTATTACCCACTTTTATGATTCACCCCTCTTTAGTTTGGATAAAAAGATGATAAAACAGTTTGTGTGTCTCATCTCCCATCAGAGAGGCTTGTCACACTTTGTAATTCAATTCAACCGATTGTCTTCATAGCTCAGTTCTCTGATAAGCTAAAAAAAAATCATGATTTTGTAGATTATATGGCTTTTTTTTTTTTTTTTTTGAGACGGAGTGTCCCTCTGTCACCCAGGCTGGAGTGCAGTGGCGGGATCTCGGGTCACTGCAACCTCCCCCTCCTGGGTTCAAGAGATTCTCCTGCCTCAGCCTCCCGAGTAGCTGGGATTACAGGCCTGAGCCACCACTCCTGGCTAATTTTTGTATTTTTAGTAGACATGGGGTTTCACCATGTTGACCAGGCTGGTCTCAAACTCCTGACCTCGTGACCCACCTGCCTCAGCCTCCCAAAATGTTGGGATTACAGGCGTTAGCCACCGTGCCCAGCCGGCTTTTTCCTACTGTTAGATTAGGAGTAACATTTTCTTGTGGCTTTCTCCTTGTAAACCCAACAAACATTTTTTAAAAATGGTAATAGGGCTCGGCGTGGTGGCTCACACCTGTAATTCCAGCACTTTGGGAGGCCTAGGTGGGTGGATCATGAGGTCAGGAGATCGAGACCATCCTGGCTAACATGGCGAAACCCCATCTCTACTAAAAATACGAAAAACTATCCACGAGGCATGGTGGTGAGCACCTGTAGTCCCAGCTACTCGGGAGGCTGAGGCAGGAGAATGGCATGAACCTGGGAGGAGGAGCTTGCACTGAGTGGAGATCGCGCCACTGCATTCCAGCCTGGGCGAAAGAGCAAGACTCCATCTCAAAAAAAAAAAAAAAATGACATAGAAAAAGATAGAAAATCACAAAGGTGTATCATTTTTAGTAAAGGTCTGGAGAATAATTATTTTGGAAATATAAGACTGTGTGTGTGTGTGTGTGTGTGTGTGTGTGTGTATGTGTGTGTGTGTGTGTGTGTAAAATGAACCATAAACTAAAATTAAATTTTTACTTTGGGTATCAGGTAAAAGCTACCAGAATAGCATAAACTTCCTCTACCTTTCTCCTCTTCATCTAGAGTAATGGTGTTCTTAACTCTCCCTTACTCCTCATATTTTACATTAGATGTTGCTTCCTCTAAGAAGCCAGTCTGGATTAGGTGTCATGCGAGGTACTCCAATAGCATCTTATACTTTCCTTATTTTAGACCTCACCACATATGCAGCTTAGGTTAGTTTTCTTGCTTTCAAAGGACAGGCTTGGGTGGAATGGGAGAAAAATGGAGAGACCATCAACCAGGTCAAAAAATCACTAAGTGAGGTTGTGATGTTGTACCAGGTAACATTCTCATAATTCCCTCCCCAACCCTTAAAATTTGTTTTTTGTTCTCTGTAGATACAAGTGCTACTGATTCTGATTTCAAGGTAATATTAAGACACATGTTCTATATAAGTATTCATATTAAGGGAAGGGGGTTATGATGAGCTCATGTTCCTAGCAGCAAAAAGATCAATAAAAAAGCACATTTTTGGACAGGCATAGTGGCTCACACCTGTAATCCCAGCACTTTGCGGGGCCAAGACGGGCAAATCACTTGAGGTCAGGAGTTCGAGAATAGCCTGGCCAACATGGTGAAAACCCATCTGTACTAAAACCACAAAAATTAGCCGGGTGTGGTGGCGCACACTTGTAATCCCAGCTCCTTGGAAGGCTGATGCGGGAGGTTCACTTGAACCCAGGAGGCGGAGGTTGCAGTGAGCCGAGATCGCGCCACTGCACTCCTGCACTCTAGCCTTGGCAATAGAGTGAGACTCAGTCTCAAAAAAAATAAAAAATTTAAAAAAAGAACATTTTATATATCCATATATATATATATATATATATATATATTTTTTTTTTTTTTTTTTTTTGAGATGGAGTTTTGCTCTTGTTGCCCAGGCTGGAGTGCAATGGCGTGATCTCTGCTCACTGCAACCTCTGCCTCCTGGGTTCAAGCGATTCTCCTGCCTCAGCCTCTCAAGTAACTAGGATTACAGGCATGCACCACCACGCCCGGCTAATTTTTTGTATTTTTAGTAGAGACAGGTTTTCTCCATGTTGGTCAGGCTGGTCTTGAACTCCTGACTTCGGGTGATTCACCCACCTCCACCTCCCAAAGTGCTGGGATTACAGGCGTGAGCCACTGTGCCTGGCCAAAAGTACATTATTTAAACTGATAAAGAATACAATAGTGATCCATAGTGAACAGACAAACCCAAAGCATGCCATAAAAGAGTATAAATGGGTTTTGGTGCTAGCACCATGTTAGAATTGCAAAAACAAATAAGATGGAGTCCTTGCCCTCCAAGAGTTTAGAGTATAGCAGAGTGACAGACATTTGAATAGATCATTGGAATGCATGTGAGAAGTACTGTAATACAAATAGATAAAGTTTGATGGACACACATGAAAAGGATCCTAATCTCAAGTGTAAGGGGCAGGGTAGTGGGGTGGAAAGGAAAATTCACTGGAGGATATGGGTACATGACAATTTGAGCTGCCTTCTGAAGGATGAGTAGGAGTTAGCTTCTATCTTGCAAGCATATTTTATAATCAAGAGCAATAAATCACTCAGACAGCAGTTATGTTGCATTTTTATTGAGAACAGTTCCAATAGTGCCCTTTATTTGACCTATCATAACACTTGTCATGCTGTATTGTAATTACCTGTGCTCTTGTCTATTTCTCTACTAACCTGTCAACTCTGTGGTAACAGGAACCATGTCAGTCCTGGCCATAGTTGTATTCTTGGCATCTAGCACAGTGCCTGGCACAGGGTGATAAATAAATGTTTGCTAAACGAGAGAACAACATCAAAAACATTTTACACATAGACATTAGAAATAACTGCTGGAGAAACAATCTTGACAATTAGTTAAAATACTGTTAAACTTTACAGGCAGCCTGTATATAATCTATTTTTAGTCAGTACTTATGGTAGTAAAGTCGTAAAGCTTGTATCTTTGATCTGCTATAAAAAATCCAGAGATTCAACTACTGCTTCCTAAATAGAAATGCAAAAGACATTAAGAGTAATGGTGTTCTTATCTCTTTTTCATAAAAAAGAAGGGTTAATTTCCAAACTTTTCACTTTCCCTTTAAGTTAACTGGCAAGGATGCCTTTTTTAACATCCAGATGTTTAAAGGGAACTATTACATGCTACAACATAACAGGAAGGAGAGGTTGAAAGGGAATCTAATATCCCTGTTTTCACCCAAGAAGCAATAAACTTCACCTTGAGGGTTAACGCTTTATGATGCATGGAGACTTACTGTGGTCACATGTAAAACAACATCCCACTCTATAAAGGACACTGGTGTTTGCAATAAATTAAATCCTAAATAGATGATAGCAGTGGTTCTCAAACATTACAGTGCATCAGAATTACCTCAAGAAATTGTTAAACACAAATTTCTGGGTACATCCCCTACCCCTCTTCCTCCTTCCCCAGCCCCCGTGTTTCTGAATTAGTAAGTAGATCTGAGGTGAGGCCAATAATGTATATCTCTAACAAGTTTTCATGTATGCTAAGGCTGCCTTTTGAGGGCTATCCATTGATAGCAACTGGACTACAGCAACTCCTCATTTTTTTACCAAAGCTTTAGTGATTTCACTTATTAGTATATCCTTCCACTCTTCCTTTAAGTTTAAATAGCAATCCTCATCTTAGAAAATTCAGGATTTTCTTTAATAAATTTTTCTATTTGGGAATCCCTTAGTATTACTCAGATATAAATAGTCATTTATCATTGTAATAAACATATATTTTTACTGCATCCCCTTGAAAATAGGATGGGAAAGTGAAAGGTTAGAATTAGAGTATGATAAAATGGTAAGATCAAGATTTAGGATTTCCTTTTCTGGCAATATGGCAGTTTAAATAACCTGAAAATTACTATGAAAATATAAGAATTGCTGAAAAAAATTAACGCTCTAATTGAGAGGCAGTGTTTTTTAATGATTAAAACATAGACTTTCGAATCACATGCCTGGATTTGGTTACCTAGTCTGCCACTTTATAGCTGTGGGACTTTGGGCAAGTTAATTAACTTATCTGTGGCAGTTTCCCCATCTGTAAAGTTGGGAAAATATTATTACATGCCTTACAGAGGGTTATATGAGAATTAAGTTTAAAATGTTTAGAATAATATCTGGCCCATTCTGTATATTCTGTACAAGTGTTAGCTACTCTTATTATTATTGTTGTTGTTGTTATCATCATATTGTTATCTGCCAAAAAAATATGGGAATATGCAGACATTTAAACTAAAATAGAACATGAAACCAGTCAAGGCACTGTGGCTTGCAATCTAAGGGCTTGAGTTTTTATGCCTATGTAGAGAGCTGCCTAAAGCTATATTGCCAATAAGAGTCAACGAAGCTTCCATTCACCAGATAAGAAAGCTAGTTTACTTTGGGCTGAGTTCTGAATAGAAAAAGTCTCCCTCAGAAATCTATAACCATAGGCCTTTGATTCCCAGACTATGGACTTCAAATTTATACTACTCTCTACTCCTGGAGCCCTTCAAACTGAGAAATCAGCATAAAAAGTAATCCTGGGCTACTGATATCCCTTGGACACCTCAAAGAAGAAAATTCAAAACCTCTCTAAAGAGATACCCCTGAACTAGACTATCCAGGATTTCTGTAGATCAAACTTCTCTGAAAATGAGCCTCAAAATCTAAATTTACAAAACATATGTGAAAATAATGCACTATGAATTAGAGTCTGCGGAAAAATAAATCGTAAGATTCAGCCTTAAGAATTTCATTATATAATAGAAAAACCTAATAGAGACTATGACATAAAATGTGATAATATAGTAAGGATGTTTAAAAATACAGATTCTATTGTTAAAATTGAGAAATTATTAAAAAAAGAAAAGGTTGATAAAACATATAATTTTAAGAAGCAAAAAAAGAATGCTTGTGATTTTTACACATTGATTTTGTGTCCTGAAAGTTTGCTGAAGTTGTTTATCAGCTTAAGGAGATTTTGGGCTGAGACGATGGGGTTTTCTAAATATACAATCATGTCATCTGCAAACAGAGACAATTTGATTTCCTCTTTTCCTAATTGAATACGCTTTATTTCTTTCTCCTGCCTGATTGCCCTGGCCAGAACTTCCAACACTATATTAAATAGGAGTGGTGAGAGAGGGCATCCCTGTCTTGTGCCAGTTTTCAAAGGGAATGTGTCCAGGTTTTGCCCATTCAGTATGATATTGGCTGTGGGTTTGTCATAAATAGCTCTTATTATTTTGAGATATGTCCCATCAATACCTAATTTATTGAGAGTTTTTAGCATGAAGGGCTGTTGAATTTTGTCAAAGGCCTTTTCTGCATCTATTGAGATAATCATGTGGTTTTTGTCTTTGGTTCTGTTTATATGCTGGATTACATTTATTGATTTGCGTATGTTGAACCAGCCTTGCATCCCAGGGATGAAGCCCACTTGATCATGGTGAATAAGCTTTTGATGTGCTGCTGGATTCGGTTTGCCAGTATTTTACTGAGGATTTTTGCATCGATGTTCATCAGGGATATTGGTCTAAAATTCTCTTTTTTTGTTGTTTCTCTGCCAGGCTTTGGTATCAGGATGATGCTGGCCTCATAAAATGAGGTAGGGAGGATTCTGTCTTTTTCTATTGATTGGAATAGTTTCAGAAGGAATGGTACCAGTTCCTCCTTGTACCTCTGGTAGAATTCGGCTGTGAATCCATCTGGTCCTGTACTTTTTTTGGTTGGTAGACTATTAATTATTGCCTCAATTTCAGAGCCGTTAGAATGGCAATCATTTAAAAGTCAGGAAACAACAGGTGCTGGAGAGGTTGTGGAGAAATAGGAACACTTTTACAGTGTTGGTGGGACTGTAAACTAGTTCAACCATTGTGGAAGACAATGTGGCGATTCCTCAAGGATCTAGAACCAGAAATACCATTTGACCCAGCCATCCCATTACTGGATATATACCCAAAGGATTATAAATCATGCTGCTATAAAGACACATATGTTCATTGCGGCACTATTCACAATAGCAAAGACTTGGAACCAACCCAAATGTCCATCAACGATAGACTAGATTAAGAAAATGTGGCATATATACACCATGGAATACTATGCAGCCATAAAAAAGGATGAGTTCATGTCCTTTGTAGGGACATGGATGAAGCTGGAAACCATCATTCTCAGCAACTGTCACAAGGACAAAAAGCCAAACACCGCATGTTCTCATAGGTGGGAATTGAACAATAAGAACACTTGGACACAGGAAGGGGAAAGTCATACACAGGGGCCTGTCTTGGGGTGGGCGTAGGGGGGAGGGATAGCATTAGGAGATATACCTAACGTAAATGACGAGTTAATGGGTGCAGCACATCAACATGGCACATGAATACACATGTAACAAGCCTGCACATTGTGCACATGTACCCTAGAACTTAAAGTATTAAAAAAAGAAGAAGCAAAAAAAATACACTTACTACAATGTCTAATAATCACGGCTAAAGAGACAATTAGTGAACTGGAGGGTAGATCTGAAACAATTACAGAAAATACAGCAACTATGGAGATGGAAAATATGAGAAGAGTAGGGTACCAACGACCTTGGTTTGCCTGGTTTTAGTATTCAAGGTCCCACGTCTCAAGAAACCCCTTTTTCCTGGGCAAATCTGAATGGTTAGTCACTCTATTAACAGATACAAATGAAAGGACAGAATAGAATGAGAAAGTCCAACTTAAGAATTCCAACATGAAAAAATATTAAAAATGGGTAAGAGGAAATACTTGAAGAGATAATGTGGATTTTCCAGAATTGATGAATATGAGTTGTAAGAAAAACAGAATAAGAACTTTAAGATTCAGGGATCACAGATACCAAGAAACAGAAATAAAAAGAAATATACACATCACAGTGAAATTGTAGACCTCAAACATAAAGTGTAACTATTCAGAGTTATCATAGTGAGAAAACAGGTTACCTACAAAGGAACAAAATGTAGACTGGCAGAAGATAATACAAATATCATGTAGAAGTCAATACAATAATAATTTTAAAGGCCTGAGATGAAATAACTTGCCAGATAGATTCTACACCCAGTTAGCATTTGGAAGTTAAGGCAACACCCCCACTCCCACCTCATGATAGGCTATCCTCTCACTCACTGCTGTAGAGGGAGGTAGCATCCCTGCCTGTGGCCGAGCCATAGCCTAGACCAAACTCATGTCTTCACCAGGTGCTGAGAGTCAGCGGGACCTGTGTACCTGCTGAACACCTTTGCCAAGTGCCACTGCTGGTGTCCACCCTAAGCCTCTTTGTACAACAAAGGGAAATCCATAGTAGCCATGGTTGAAAAGAGAGTTTAAACCACATAGTAAGGAAACACCACAGGCTACTCTCAGGAATCTGCCAATAAAAGGATGTTGGAGCCTCGTGATTAATGACAACACAGGAGATAAGAAACCTTGAATTTCATGAATGGAGAGTCAAAGTTGAGGCCTTACCAAACATTAGCCACAATCCTAAAAGGGTTATAGTAAGAGGATGAGAGAGAAAAAAATCTCTGCTGGAAAAAAGAACCATTGAAGGAAAACTCACACTCACAGATCTTGCACGGGGTGAGGGAGAAAAAATTTACCTGGTACAGTCATAAGTACAAACCTGCCCACCCACTGTTTGATATTCACATTAATTTGCATGGTCTAGGACAGTTCACACCAGGTGCTTTTGGCTCAGTGATGCCCCAGAGCATCTGACAGAAGCAAAAGCAAATCCTCATTAGAGAAATGAGGCCGGATGCAGTGGCTCAAGCCTGTAATCCCAGCACTTTGGGAGGCCAAGGCAGGTGGATCACCTGAGGTCAGGAGTTCAAGACCAGTCTGGCCAACATGACGAAACCCCGTCTCTAATAAAAATACAAAAATTATCTGGGCCTGGTGGTGCACATCTGTAGTCCCAGCTACTCAGGAGGCTGAAGCAGGAGAATCGCTTGAACCCAGGAGGTGGAGGTTGCAGTGATCCAAGATCATACCACTGCACTCCAGCCTCGGCAACAGAGCGAGACTCCATCTCATAAAGAGAAGAAAAGAAAAAAAAAAATGAACCTTCAGGCTGGGCACAAATGGCTCATGCCTATAATCCCAACAGTGTGGGAGGCTGAAGTAGGGGGATCATTTGAGGTCAGGAGTTTGAGACCAGCCTGGCCAACATGGTGAAACCCTATCTCTACTAAAAATACAAAAATTAGCCGGGCCTGGTGGCACATGCCTGTAATCCCAGCTACTCGGGAGGCTGAGGCAGAAGAATTTCTTGAACCCGGGGACGGAGGTTGCAGTGAGCTGAGATTGTGCCACTGCACTGCAGCCTGGGCAACAGAGCTAGACTCCATCTCAAAAAAAAAGAACCTTCAATTCAGGCTTCGCCATATTCAATTCTACCTTAAAAAATGTAAATGTGTTTGTGTGTGTGTGTCTATGTGTGTGAGTTTTGTTGATATAAGTTAATCACTCTTCTGATGAGAATTATGGAACTTTGTTATTCAAGCAGCTCAATATGTTATTTGAGCTAAAATTGAATTCCTTTTAGAATTCAAGAGCTGCAGCCTACTTGTTCAGGTGTACGTTCCTGAAGTTTCTTGCTACACATTTTATAAAGGCATTATATGGCCTTCAATGAACACCCTCATTTGTAACAACCAATGTTTGACATTATAAAAGTTTAAGCCATTTGATTTACAGTTCCATTTTAATAAAATTATGCAACTCCCTGGATCTTTAATTACATACTTACCAAGCCACACATAGCTTGGTAAGCTTCTTTTATTCAAAATAATAACTTTCTTTTTAGTGTTTCTTCAACAACTACTGGCCTTTAATAGAAGTTGTCATGTTTGTTGGTTTTATTTTAAAATTGTATTCTGATACCCCCTTTAATACCTAACACAGTATGAATTATGTGATGAATTATTTAATGTCTATGTTATTAGAGAAAGAGAAGGGAGTAGGAATTCAGGGTATGGATAGGAGTAGAGATCTGAGGGTTAAGCATTAGCTCTGATCTTGAGATGTTTTGGAACTGTAAATCTAACATCCCAAGGCCTTATCTATGTGATTTGAGACTGCCATCGACTTTCTTAACCATAGAACCATAGTGCCTTGACCATGTCTCCTTCTACTACAAGTTGTTCTGGGACCCCCGGGGGTATTTCAGACATATTTAAGAGCCCATGCTCTGCTACTTTTACACCCAATCTCTTCTCTACATCCACTGAGTCTGCAAACTTGCTGTGGGTCCCACAGCCTCCAATAGGCACTCCTGCTGCTCCTCAGGAAGGAAGCTGCCCTGCCTAGGATTCTGTCTCCTGTGGCAAAATATTTCAGATGTCATAGTGACACAGTCAATCCTCCCTCCTTTGGAGCCAAGCCCTTTAGGTGCAAAAATGGGGACAATGACCTTTCCTTCATGCAGATTAGTCCTGGCCCCTGAGCAGGCCTGGATGACCTGATGTCATCTTGTCCCCTCCATCTCATTGTTGCCTCTGTCCCCAGCCCCAGATACAAAAAGGACTTCTCTTTTCCCCATTCATATCACTTGATACATTGATGTCTGCATTCCAGTTTTGGCTCAACTGGGATATCAAACTACAAAATATTTTCTTATTCATTCAAAACTACCTTTGGAGTACCTATTATGTGCAGGCTGCTGTGCTAGGGGCTGCAGCAGACCAAGGAAGGAATTAGAGGCAGCTCTTCAGGCATGAGATTTGACACGTTTTCACCTGAAACAGATGGCCAAGGAGTCCAGTTGCAGTATCTTCCTCCAAAGAACCTCAAACCTTCTACATTTTGCAACTTGACATTTAAAAATCTAACTTAGAACAATGAGAGGCTAAGACAAATAAAAAGAAAAGACTAAATTGCTCCCAAAAGTTAACAAATGATGGTGAGGTTTATTTTTAGGGAAAATGAATAAAAATTCAAAGCAGTTTATATTGAGTATATGCTTGCCCATGAAGAGTCATCATCTCCTGGGGCCACAACTATCAGCAAGTTGTTAGATTCTTTTGAAAGCTGCATTAACCTTTTCAATAAGTTCCTTCCTTGGATCGGTCAATGGCCAGGACTGGAAGAACATGGCTTCCCTAATAAGCATGTGTAATCATCTTGTCCTGTGATGGAAGGTGACAAGTAGACACACTGTAGACAGGTTCCTATCAGAATTGACGCCTGACCAAATGATTGTCAGGAGGAACTTAAGTCATAATCCTGACACCTAGAAGGGAGACCCTTTCTACCACAGGGAGAAAAAACAACAGGGGTAATTCCCTACTGTATGGAAGTGTATACAAGACGGATGTATTTAATGTGACCAAAAAATGAAATCTTCTAAATCCTAGATTTCTATTCCAGCTCTGAAACTGTGACCTCTGTATCTACATATGGATATTTTAGACCTATGCTGTCCAATGCAGTGGCCACTAGCAATTTAAAATGTGGCTAGTAAGAATTGAGATGTGCTCTCAGTGTAAAATAAACACCATAATTCGAAGACATTAAAAATAAAAAGTGTAAAAGATCTCATGAATATTTTAAAATATTGACCACATTCTGAAATCATAATATTTTGAGTTAAATACAATGTTTTAAAAAGTATTCCATTTGTTTCTTTATAATTTTTTAATGTGGCTACTCAAAAGTTTTTAAATTACATTTACAACTTGCATTATAATTCTATTGGTCAGCTCTATTTTAGATATAACTGTATTTACAGATAATAACCTGGAGCTAGCCCTTTTGTGTTTAGATAAAATGTTCACTAATACTACCTCCAACAGGGTTAATATTCTAATAAGTGATCGTCACTGTACTCAGTGTTCTATGAGACAGATCAATGATGGGCCAGGCACAGTGGCTCACGCCTGTAATCCCAGCACTTTGGGAGGCTGAGGCAGGAGCATTGCTTGAGCCCAGGAGTTGGAGACTGCAGTGAGCTATGACAGCACCACTGCACTCCAGCCTGGGCAACATCGTGGGACCCCATCTCTAAAAAAAAAAAAATAGTAACACCCACCATAAATAAAACCAAATTTCTATCATTGCACTGAAATTCCAAATAAGGCTCACTATAATGAAGCCTACAAAATGAGGCCACTTACAAACAGTTACACAGTCCTCTAACAGACCTTTTCATGGCTTCACCTCCATGAGCTAGCATACTAAACTAGATAAACTATAGAGATGTTCCCAGGAAGATCCTATGGCCACTAAGAACTGATATCGTTTGGCCCAGTTTGAAAGAGAAAAATCCCTGAAAATGGAAAGAATAAGTCTGTGAGCCCCTAGAGTTGGAAGACTGAAAAATAAGGTCAATGGCATTGTAAACACCCTTGTTATGAACTGAATTATGTGCTTCCCTCATCCCCAACTCCAGATTTCTACGTTGAATCCCTAACTCTCCCTGTGGCTGTATTTGGAGATAGAGCCTTTAAGGAGGTAATTAAGGTTAAATGAGGTC